>NC_000006.12:60829934-61129934 GCF_000001405.40 Homo sapiens | reverse complement strand
CCCATCATCTCAGCTCAAAATCTCCTTAAGCTGACAAGCAACTTCAGCAAAGTCTGAGGATACAAAATCAATGTGCAAAAATCACAAGCAGTCATATACACTAATAATAGTCAAATCCTGAGTGAGCTCCCATTCACAATTACCACAAAGAGAATAAAATACCTAGGAATACAATTTACAAGGGATGTGAAGGACCTCTTCAAGGAGAACTAATATCCACTGCTCAAGTAAATAAAAGAGGACACAAACAAATGGAAAAATATTCCATGCTCATGGATAGGAAGAATCAATATTGTGAAAATGTCCATACTTCCCAAAGTAATTTATAGATTCAATGCTATCCCCATCAATCTACCACTGACTTTCTTCACAGAATTAGAAAAAAACTATTTTAAATTTCATTTGGCACAAAAAAGAGCGCGCATAGCCAAGAAAATTCTAAGCAAAAAGAACAAAGCTGGAAGCATCATGTTACCTGACTTCAAACTATACTACAAGCCTACAGTAACCAAAACAACATGGTACTGGTATCAAAACAGATATATAGACCAATGGAAAAGAACAGAGGCCTCAGAAATAACACCACACATCTACAACCATCTGATCTTTGACGAACCTGACACAAACAAGCAACAGGGAAAGGATTCCCTATTTAATAAATAATAGGAAAACTGGCTAGCAATATGCAGAAAACTGAAACTGGAACCCTTCGTTACACCTTATACAAAAATTAACTCAGGATGGATTAAAGACTTAAATGTAAGACCTAAAACCATAAAAACCCTGGAAGAAAACCTAGGCAATACCATTCAGGACATAGGCATGGGCAAAGACTTCATGTCTAAAACACCAAAAGCCATGGCAACACAACCTAAAATTAACAAATAGGATCTAGTTAAACTAAAGAGCTTCTGCACAGCAAAAGAAACTATCATCAGAGTGAACAGGCAAACTACAGAATGGGAGAAACATTTACAATCTATCCATCTGACAAAGGGCTAATATCCAGAATCTACAAGGAACTTAAACAAATTTACAATAAAAACAAACAACCCCATCAAAAAGTGGGCAAAGGATATGAACAGACACTTCTCAAAAGAAGATATTTATGTAGCCAATAAACATATGAAAGAAAGCTCATCATCACTGGTCATTAGAGAAATGCACATAAAAACCACAATGAGATACCATCTCATGCCACTTAGAATGGCAATTATTAAAAAGTCAGGAAACAACAGCAGATGCTGGAGAATGTGGAGAAATAGAAACGTTTTTACACTCTTGGTGGGAGTGTAAATTAGTTCAACTATTGTGGAAGACAATGTGGCGATTCCTCAAGGTTCTAGAACCAGGAATACCATTTGACCCAGCAATCCCATTACTGGATATGTACCCAAAGGATTATAAATCATTCTACTATAAAGACACATGAACACACATGTTTATTGCAGCACTAATCGCAATAGCAAAGGCTTGGAACCAACCCAAATGCCAATCAATAATAGACTGGATAAAGAAAGTGTGGCACATAAATACCATGGAATATGGTGCAGCCATAAAAAAGGGTGAGTTCATGTCCTTTGCCGGGATATGGATGAAGCTGGAAACCATCATTTTTCAGCAAACTAAGACAGGAATAGAAAACAATACACCACATGTTCTCACTCACAAGTGGAAGCTGAACAATGATAACACATGGAGAGAGCAAGGGGAACATCACACATGGGGACTTTTGGGGGTTTGGTGGCTAGGGGAGGGATAGCATTAGGAGAAATACCTAATGTAGATGACGGTTTGATGGGTGCAGCAAACCATCATGGCACATGTATACTTATGTAACAAACCTGCACATTCTGTACATGTATCCCAGAACTTGATGTATAATTAAAAAAAAAAAAAAGACTTCCTGCAAAAAAAAAAAAAAAGAGAGAGAAAGGATATGTAAAATGTTTTAAAAGGAAAGCCAGTGTTTCTAAAAAAAAAATCAAATACTTGAAAGGCTCATCTATGCCCATAAAGTATCTCTTCTCTGCACTGTCCCCTCGTAATTTACTCACTTGTGCAAGTTAAAGAATGGAAAGTAGTAGAATGAGTAGCTCAGAGAGGAGGAGCTGCATGAGAAGATGAACCAGGGAAATCATGGAATGGGACTGCCCTCTCTGAGGCCTTTTCCTTGCTGTTTATAATGATAGCGGGCATTGTGACTTCTCAAACACTATCTCTGGTGGTAGTACCATAAAAACTTTTTATCAACAGTAAACGTCCGTGGACTCTTGAGTATAGCTGGCCTTGATAGCTAAACACTGTTTACTTATCATCTTTGCTTGGCCATGGTCATCTCCTTACACTCCAGTTGTCTCTACAGACATATGTTTGATCCTTGTGAAATTCATAATGAAAAGTTTGCTTGATCATTAAAAAAAATTTCACAAGTAGTGATTTACCTCTGGGAAGGCAGTTGTGTCTGAATGTGCTGATATTATGCAATCTCCATAATATATTATTAAATGAAAAAAACAATAGACATAGGAACTTATTGTGTATGCTCTCATATGCATACAATGGGGTATATGTGTATGTATGTATATATATTTGGATATCTATCTACCTATCTTCTTGGCCACAAATAGATTATCTTTTTGAAGGATTCAGGAGAAACTGTTGGTGATCACCTTTGAGTAGGGCTTAAAGTTCTGCGAATGAGGTTCATTTTTCCAGCATGCCATTTATTCTAGTTGAGTTTTTGACAGTGTAAATGAATTATTTTCCCGTTAATAAAAAGTTGGTTAATAATAAAACATGTATTTCATTACTTTAGTTGAGATATTGAATATTTTCTTCTTCATCAGAAATTTACATTAGTCTAATTATTTTTAATTATTTTTAGGTAGCACCACTAATACAATGGGATTTCATAACAAATGTTACTCTTTGTTTTGTCACTTTGTAAATCTGTAGATATTTTACTTAAAAATATTTACAGTTATATAATAGAACACTATAGGCTATATTTTTTAACATTTATTATGCCTTGCTGTATTTTTACCTCTTCTATTCCCCTTTATTTCCCACATCAGCCCCTTCCAACCTTTCAAAATATCCTCCATGCTCAAAGATTCATGTAAAACACCCATACACATAAAGGTGAAATATTTGGAGTCATTTTAAAAGAGAAGGAACCATGCCATGGGCTTTTCTCTGCAACTTGCTTTTCTTGTAGTTTATTATGAAAATCCCTTCAAGTCAATTAATGTATTGTTGACTCATTCTTTATAATCTGTGATAATATTCCATAGCATGAATGTAACACAATTTTATCAACCATTCTTAAGTTAGTGGCCATTAAAATCATTATTATACTTAGCCACCACAAACCATGTTGTAATAAATATTCTCATCATAGTCTGATAAACTGGTGCTGATATTCCTTAGAATAGGTGTGAAATTGCTGAGCCAAAGGGTAGGCATGCTTTGAATTTAACAGATACCACCAAAGTATATTCTAAAATATGAATAGTAATACATATTCATACATAGCAGTGACTTTTTCTTGACACACTTACCAGGTATAGCTGTTTTCATTACTTTAATTTTTTAATTAACACAATATTTAAAAAGTAGGATATTATTATTTTAATTCTTAGTTCTTTGTACTATCGATGAATGAATGTTGATTCATCATTCTATTTGCCACATAACTTTTCTCTTCTGTGACTTGTCCATTCATTTCCTTCATCCATTTTCCAACTTGGTTGTTTTACTTTTGTTATTATTTATAGGAGGATTTTTTGCCCAATTTTATTGCAAATCACAACACAAAGTAATGAAGTTGAAAATTTGTCAAATAAAGATGAACTCTCAAAAATATCTCAGCAAGTCTACAGAGTCTATGACTCCAATCTTTTCTTTGTTAAAACAGCAGGAATGAAAATATTAGTGAATTATTATTCTCAAACAGAGGTTAGCTTATTGACATAAAATTTCTAGATATCTGTAAAATTATTCTAAATTTCTCTTAAATTCCTTATATTTTGTTTAATGCAGTAGTGTCCTACTCCATGACACATTTAATTACAAACTTTACCCCTATAGAGGCTATTTATTGGGTACAGTGAGCCTATAAGACCAATGTTGCAAAATGGCTCCTCCATAGGCCAAGCCACTCCTCTCCTTTAATGACCTATGAATCATCATTTTTTCTAGTGATTTGGAGGATGATACTGGCTTCATGCTTCTTTTGCTTATGAGAGAATATTCTTCTGCCTCTAATCTGTTTTTTTATTTTCTTCTTTAGCACACTTCCAGTTCTGTAGTGAACATATGTAGGCAGATCTAAAGCCAATGGATACCAGAAATGGGCACGAGGAGGCTGTGCATGAATTTTCATGAGGAACATTGAGAGACTCCTCAGCTATAGACCAGTCTCCAGAGTCTAATTTCAATCACCCTTCAGAGTCTGGGCTCTAAGAATATTCAGCAATTTTTTTTTCATATACTTTCCTACTTCTAACCTTTGCTTAGTTAATTTCTTCCACCTAGAATATTCTTTCTTCACATTTCCACGTGCCTCAATTTTACAAATTTTATAAGGCCAATGTGGTAGATTATTTCCAAAGATAGCCACCAACAATTCTTCCCACAACTATATACACATGCTATTTTCCCTCCTTTTGAATATAATCCACTCTTGTGATTTGCTTTAGCCAATAGAATGTGGCAGGCGTGACACTTTGCCAGGTATAGGTCTAGATTTTACTGAGCCCGCTGCTTCTACTTTCACCTTCTTTGAAACCAGCAACCATGTAAAGAAGTCTGATCTTCCTCCTAGAAACAGAGGCTCTGGAGGATGAGAGACCATGAAGGGCAACAGAGAAAGACCCGGCCAACCCAGGTAAGATGCCAGACATGTGAGTAAAAAAATCTTGGATCCTCCAGTTTTAGTCAAACAATCCTAGTAAGCACGACTTGAAGCAGAGACAAGCTACCCATATTTAGCCTTACTGAAATTGCAGAATTGTGAGCAAATTAATGGTGATTGTTGTTAGCTCTTAAGTTTTAGGCATGATATTCTTATATGGACGTGATCTGAACTCTACCCCTCTGTGAAATCCTATGGCATTTTATTTCTCACTTTTTTGTGGTATATCACTTCCTACACTGTGTAGAATAAAATATCTCTCAGACTAAATTATGTGTAAAATTCTTGAGAGAAATGTATTATGTCATATTTATCTTGTATTTCCAAGCTAAGGCAATATTTTCTTGTATGGGACTCAACATTTATACATGAGTGATTGTGTGTGTGTTTTCATATATGCTATTCACACATATGAACTCTACACAATAAAATTAGGGATGATTTCCTCCTCACCCAAAGCAATCACTGTTTTCTTTAGAAACTAAGGATAATACTGTATCAGCTAGATCAGCCCAAGGTTGATACTGAGGTATTCTTAACAGTATTGGTGTTTTCTTCAAAACAGCTTGAAATATTGAGATAAAGTTAACCATTAGAATGCATTTGTTTTGGGTTTACCTTCCTGCAGATATATTTTAAAGTCGAGTCACCATCCTAAGGTCCATTTTCCAGTTTTTTGCATATGCCTTATCATTTTTCTGTGGATTTTTGAAGTGTTTTATGGTGACATAGATACTTTCCACCCCAAAATATGCATTGACAACACTGATTACATTGGCTCTTATTGGCTCTCAGGAAAGGTTTAGTATATCCGACAGCATGTCATTGGCTTTATGGCATAGATAGAGACTTTACGGTAGTGAGGAAACAAGCAAAATATGGAGCGAACATCAGCAACACGGACACATCCAGCACAAAGTCCCAAATGTAGTGTCTGGGCACCTGTCAGTAATAATGAGTCAAAGAAAAAAGAGCAGGGGCGTAACTTGGGCGATGTGATCAGAGGAGAAATACCCAGAGCCACATAGAATATGGCATTAATTGGGTATGTCAGTTACAAGTGAGGGGAGAGAAGTGGAAAGCAGATGCAAAGAGTTCACAGGATCCTTTAAGTGAGGGCAGGTCAACTCTGCCTACGTGGGTCCCAGACCCGTATTTTTCATAAATGCCAAGGTTTCTAGGTGATGGGATAATTGACAGGCTGCTGTCCTCTTTGGAAAAGGAGTAGGAAGTCAAAAATTCAGCAAGCTAGATTTTTAGGAGTACCTCCAAAATAGCAAGTTTTGGCTTCAAACTACAGGATCCCTCAGCCTTTCTGGCATAGAAGAGGGGAGCAATGTTCTTGAGTATCACATATGTAATGATAGCTACCACTTATTGCTGACTACTATATCAATCCAATAAGCTAGATCACATATGTGATGTTAATAGACAGTCACCACTTATTGCTTACTACTATGTCAACCCAGTAAGGTAGATAATATTTTCTAGATAAGGAAACTGAGTTTATGAAAGGGGGAGTTACTAGCCTAGGATTTGAACATAAGTCTACTGGCACAAAGCCCAGGCTCACCCCACAAAAACTCTATCCCTGCCTACCCCACTTTGGAGAACTACAGTTGCTCCCCAAGATCAGGTTCCAAGGTGTTGAAACAGGAAAGCCTACAGATAGAGGGGCCTGTCACTAACAGAGTTTTGTTAAACCTAGGGTAGGAATTGACACCTTCATCAATATGCCACATTTATTCCAGAACAGCTTGAGAGGTATCATGCCCAAAACAATGAACTCTGGATTTAAGGGAGGAGGGGCAAAACTGTAACATTGTGGATTCTAAAAACATCTTCCAAAGAAATAGGGTTATTGAAAAACACACACATGCATACATACATACAAACTGCTTTTTACTTTTGATTAAGATGAGTTCTGCGTAGATAACTAGAAATTATTCTTCATGTTCCAGAGCAGGAAGAAATTGAAAGAACTTCTTCAATTAACACAAAGGTTCCTTGTGTTAATCACACTGTTGATTTTCAAATTCCTATTTTGGATTTGATTTGAAATCATGTGGATGAATGTCTTTAAAATATATATGTTCTTTCTCCAATTGGCATGACATGGCACCCTGAGCCTTCAAAAAGTACTTCAAAAATGAAGTACTCATCTTGATTTCTTTAGACATATTCCTGCTGCTTTAGGAACCAGCTTTATAGTAACTTCTTTTAGTATTTAAAAGCTTGAGCTTTGGAATGAGATAACCCTGAGTTCTAATCATGACTCTGTCACCCACTAGCATTGAGGAAACTCCTTAACTAAGGAGTTTCCAAACCATATCAGTATTATTGGCCCTTTTTAAAATATAGGGACATCTGAGAGTTGACGTCCCTATATTTTAAAAGGGGCCAATAATACTGATACGGTTTAAATCTGTGTCCTCACCCAAATCTCATGTAGAAATGTAATCCCCAATGCTGGAGGTGGGGCCTGGTGGGAGGTGATTGGATCATGGGAGCAGATTTCCCCATTGGTGCTGCTTTCATGGTAGTGAGTGAGTTCTCCTGAGATCCAGTGGTTTAAAAGTGTGTAGCACCTCCCCTCTCTCTATCCTTCTCCTTCTTTGGCTATGTGAAGTACTGGCTCCCCCTTTACCTTCCACCATGATTTTTTTTTTTTAGATGGAGCGCCATGATTATAAGTTTCCTGAGGCCTCCCCAGAAGCCAAGCAGATGGCCAGCATCATGCTTCCTGTACAGTCTGTAGAACCATGAGCCAGTTAAACCACTTTTCTTTATAAATTACCCAGTCTCCGATATTTCTTTATAGCAGTATAAGAATGGACTAATGCAAACACTGATCTCATATACTTGTACTCCCACCACTCCTACTGCAGTTACCCCTATTACTGCTGCTATTGCTCCAACAAGAACAACCATAGAATGCACTATATAGTCAGTGTTTAGTATGTTCTAGGCACTAGATTAATTACTTTATATATACTCTGACTAATGCCCATGCCAACTTTTCAGAGAAGCAGGATATTTATCCCTTTTTAGTGGCTGAAAAGACTTAAAGACTAAGTATCTGAAGTAATACAATTAGTTATTTCTGAGAAACTGGGAGGAAAATCCAGATTTATAGGGTTTCAGAATGGTTACAGTTAACTAGCAGGCCATTCTCCCTGTGATAATGAAGTGAGCTAGTATAAGTGAAGTGTTTGGCACCACCCTAGGACTGAGTGGGTCCTCCATAGAGGGTTGTTGAAATTATCTTTCCTCCCAAGGTGAAGCCGTTTTCACCTTCTGGAGACAATCATCATTCTTCTGTGCTCTCGAAGTACATATTTGTACATATGTACATATCTTTGTCTTTCTGTACATATCTTTACCGAAGCATCTTTCTTGTTAAAATTAACTATATATCTGCATCCCCACCAGTCCATGGGCTACTACAGAAGAAGAACCCTTACACAACCCTATTTTGCACTACCCCCATCCTCACCGCCTCCCTCCCATGCCCAGGCAACATTGTAATCTTTTCCTTTTAAGACCCTACACTGCTATAAACTATGTTATAACACCAATCATATCACAATTACTTACTTTTATGCCAGTCCTTGCATAAAGTCAAGAATTTATATTCCCCTATACTTTAAGTACCATGCACATTGCAGAAACATAATAAATGTTCAATGAGTGAATGAGGTGATAAATGAATATATTTAGATTTCCTTACAGTTCCCCTTTCTCTTACATTTATTTAATAGCAATAAGTTATAAAAGCCTTAATCTGAAATTCATACCCCATGGATTAAATCCTAAGCTGGAATGAGATCAATCAGTATGAAACATTATTTATACAGTTGTAGCAAATTTTATTTTAAATCATCTTATGTGAGCTAGCAAACCCCAAAAAGGATACAACAAAAATGATTTTTATTTGTATTGTGCTTTTAATTTTTACAATGATATGGTAGAAAACAATCTCTCATTTTCCTTTGGTCCATGAGTAAACTAAGGCTTAGAGACAGATGAAGTGATTTGCCATACATTCCAGGGCTGATAATTGACATAGTTTGTCCTCAAGTCCAATCCTCTGATATGAAGTCTGACTTTCTATGTGAACTAGAACTACCTCTCTTGATATCTTATATCTAAGAGAAATTCTGAACATGGCCACCAAAATAAACCTGAATTAAGCTGAAAAGCTACATAACTGAAGGGAAAAAAGGAAAAAGGGAATTTTTTTCAATTAAGTTATCCAGGCAAAATTTTCAAATTTATAATTGTGTGAATAGCAGTTTTGCAAATAAAACAGCCTTTTTCCCTTCCATCTATAAGTTTGAGAGATGTACGCCTCATCCCTTTATTGGCTAACTCTGGAAAAGACAGACACTTCCTCAGGCACACAGGCATAACTGGGCATAACTTATTGTGTCCAGGGCTAAGTCAATAGCCACACACAGCTAGTTATTCTTAAACCTGCAAGGTAGTTACTTAACAGTGAAAAAAATTACTGAAAACTAGCCTCCAGTTGAAAAAAAAAACAAACAAAAAGAAAACCTTTGGATCTACCCAAAACACTGACCTAATTTTGCATTCATATGACTTCTACAATAGCAATATAGTTAAACTTATACTACGGAAGAATAGGCAATTCCCCAAAGGCATTAATTTTTTATTGAGTGGTAAACCTCATCACCTAAACCATTATAGAGAGAAACCATTCTGGAATAAGGTACCTGAAAATAAATTATTTCATAATTCCTAAAGACTAGCTAATGCAGCTGTTCTGACAATGTAATCTGAATATTTGAAAATTCATTATGGAGAACAATAACTCATCTCCCCATAAATTGTTTCCAAACAAATTAACCCAAAAACCATTAGTGCAACAGCTGCTGCAATTAACCAATTCTTCCAACTTGCTGATTTGTCCCATTTGGAATAGATAAGGGATATAGGGAAGCTGAGAATACATACTATTTTCATGTAAAGACAAAGCTCAGTTTCAAAATCACTAATTGTATAAAGAAGAAACACTTACACCATTATGTAAACAGACACAGAGCACATATACTTCCAGAATGCCTGGCCATGTTTACATTTAGAATTCAGAATTGCTGAAACCTGAAGACATGCATGGAGTCAGTGCTCATCACATCACATCCAAATCAGGTTTACTATGTTAATTCCTGAAGGTGACTGCATTGTTCTATAATGTTTTATTCCATAATATTTCAGACCATAAATTTGCTGCACAGAAACTTGTTTCCACCTCTGCTACAGTTTTTAATATTGGATCTCTAACGGGCTTCTCCCAGCCTGTATCTCTTATGTAAAACAATCTGTTTAGCACTTTGGGGCTTCTAAGCCCCGCTAAGCATGTTTTCGGTTTGTTGGTGGTGATGGTGGTGATTGCATTTCTCCCCTTTGAACTAATGCTCTGCTAAGAATTGCAGCTAAACCTATACATGTAAAGATTAAAGGCAGGTCTAGTGTGGCTTTTGAACATCAAACAGCCAGAGTTGTACATGACTCAAGTAAATTGCAGGGAGCTGGCTCTATTATTTTCCTTCATGCTAGAAAACTCTTCATTATCATTTTTGTTGTAACTGCTCTTATCCACTCGCCTGGTGATGATACATACCCATAAGAAGTGATAAACGCCTTCTACCAAGAGAAAATATGTTCTAATGCACAGCACAGGAGTAAGCAGGAAGCAAAGAGGGGAGGGGAAAGATAAGAGGGAGGACTGGCAGGAGAGGGAGAGAGGGGAAATTTGAACTGACCAACTAAAGTCTTTAGAAAAAGCCACATGTATTCCTGACAGAAAAGGTATTGTTTGCGGAAAAAGTGCTGCTCTGAATCCCAATATCGGATTATAAGCATGATCTGAATTTGATATAATTTATTCATATTAAAGAAAACTCCTGTGGAGAATAAGCCTTTGTTGGAGAGAAGAAACCAATGCTAAGATGCGCCTGCTTCAGTCGGATATAATTTATCGCTTATCTTCAAGAAAAAGAAACTCAAGTAACAAAAAATGTAAAGAAGTCTCATTCTCGCACAATCTTTAGAACCTTGAAGCTGAACCATGGGATCAGTGAGGTTGCTTCTTAATGCAGGCCCTGATGTTACTAAACTTGAACCTATGTCTCTTCTCAGAATCTTTCATATTCGGTTTTTCAGACAAAATGTAGTGAAGGATATGATGTTTCCTGTATAATTAATGCTCAGTAAATGCTGTTGACTATGTAAAACAATCTGTTTAGCACTTCTGGGCTGCTAAGCCCCTCTAACCTCGGTACAACAAAAAATTGTTTCCTGTGAGTCCTACAGGGAGTCGAGAAATGTGAAGGACAAACATATTTTCCTTTTGTAGAAATTCCCACAATTTAAACTCTTCCAATTAGCACCTAATTGGCAGGATACAATTTGAAATCATTGAATTAAACTGCTTTAAAAAAATCCATCGTTTTGTTAATATTTCAGAGACCTGATTTTCTTTATGTGTTCTGGATTTTCCCTAATCCTGGTTTAGTCTTTCTTGTTCATATCATTCAGGGAGCTCAGAGAATCCTAACTTTATGTGCTTATCCACCCACTCCTCTTAGTCACTTACTTTGTGTCCATTTCTACCCCAGAAGGTGAGAGAGTAGGTGTTGTTCATCTGGTCTAGTCTCCTCCTGTGCACCCACACTCTGTCTCCTCTTTCAATGCTTCTGCATTTGCTGTACACATGTCATAAATGCACAGGAGCCTCAGAACTCGTTTGCTCCTTTATGCAAACACATAGTTCTGATATGCTCAGAACAAAATTCCATAGGCCTTCTTGGAATCTTGAGGCTGCAAGTGTACACTAACATGATTTCAAAATACTGCTGTTGCCTCACTTTCCCTTAGAAGATTAGTTTCTTAGAGACAAAAAACAACTTGAAGAGATAGATGAAGTTTAAGGCAAACAAAAGTATATAGTCTTTTATTAGCTTCTCCCTACGCATATTCACCTAACTAAAACTGATTTCAACCCCCACCCCAATCAAAGAACAATGACCTACATGAACAGGTCTTCCAGTGTGTCCTTGAGAAGTCTGAGAAATGGTCCTGCCTTATTCTCAGAGGTTCATATTTACATATTCTTTATGGTCTCATCTCAGGTCTCCCCAAAGCAATTAAGATTATAGCAATAGACAAGAACTATGGTATCTGTCAAATGGTGGTTTCCTAGCTTGACTAAAGAAAGCCAGTCATCCATCCTAGGACCCTTGCCCTCCTCAGCCAATCATAACAAGCATTTGTCCCAGGCCCTGTCTTTGCAGCAGTCAGTACCTACAGCTGTACTCAATGTACTGAAAAAAATTACAAGAGCAGCAATGCCCAGAAACACACCATTGTAACAAATGCTAACAAAATGATTACTGAAATCCTATTTTTTATAATAATTAAACATAAATTCTAGTTAATTATGGCTTAGAATCAAGAAGTTTCCTTAAACTGTAGTACCACTACTGCACAAACTATTATGTGGGCTTGCTGGTGAATCACAAATTTCAGCTATTATGAGAGGAGCACTCTATTAAAGTCAGGATATTTTCTCCATTCATCTTTTTAAAAAATTGTACAATGTATTAGTCTGTACAAGAATTCATTTTTAAGCCTAACAGAAGCTGTTAAGATATCACTTACAGTACCATTTAAGTGCTCACTGCTGAATCTGTAGCCTTTGAACATATACTGAATTATGGCTCTGTCAAACTGCACACATCCCAGCCAAAGGGTAGTCAGGGGAGGGAGCCAGGGGAAAAGCAGTGAAGTACCCCCATCTATATTCATTTGTTTGTCTCTGCTTAAGTTGATTTTAATGTCAGAGTTTGCTTACACTTTTTAAACTGTGTAACATATTTCAAAGAGACAAGTTCAATTTTCAAGTCAAACATCAGATAATGGCATCAGGGATGCCTGCAACCACAAAGGAAATATACATAAAGAGGGCAAAATGCAAGTTAAATGTTTGCATAAGCAGCCAGATGGAAATGAGATTTCAAATGGTCCCCTCACTACCTGGAGCTCTCTCACTACTGTATGTTTTTAGGACACTTTCTAGTCACTAAAATCATACTGCATTACTATTATCTCTATTATACATGCACATCAATTAATAAGAAACCAAAATATTAAGTAATTTTTCAGTGGCTATACTTAGCAAGAAAGTGACAAAGATATGAATGGCCCTATTCAGATGAGAACTAAAATATTTTGCTCACTTTAGGGACACAGAATTCATTAAATACCCAAGATTTAAAGATTTATGTTCAGAAAGCCTAAAGGAAGTTTGGCTTTGAATTAAACCTGTATGAGACAAAAGTATAGTCTGCCTTATTTACTGTTATGTCATTAGCACGTAGTCCAATGTCAGGCCATCGAATGAAAAAAAAAAAAAAACAAATGAATGAATTAAACATCAATTGCAAATTAAGATTTCTGACCTACAGGAACTGGATGAGCATACCCAGTTATTGTCTCAAGTAAGAATTTAAGAAACCAGAAGAGCGTGTCCTCTAATTTGGATTTTCCCTACCCAGTATATTTTTGCTTTTGTATCTGCCTTGAAAGAGGAGCAGAGGGGGAATGTTCCTGAAAGCATATGTGGGAGAAATTACACATTCATATAGATAGAAAGTCATGAGACTGTAACCAGGTTTTGCTGTGTAATCTCTGACAAGGGGTGATATTTCTGAGTTTCAGGCTCTGGAAGACAGGGCAACCATAATATACTAAGGTGACTCAAAAGAGTGAACAGCAATTGGGGGAAGGTGAACTTGAAACCACCAAACTCCTTCAGACCACTCGTGGTTGAAGTTTGGACCCTTTTGTAAGCCAAAAGAATGGTGAGTTCATTTCAAAGATGACCAAATTGGCTTTACTATCAGCTCTTATGGCTGTGGGCAAAGGAGAGAATGGTAGAGAAACTGGTCCTACATGGTGATGGGCTAGGGATAAAAAAGGGGAAGAAGTGAAGATGAAAATAGATGAGTTCAAGGAGACAACTGTGGCATTGAGGAGAAGGAAGGAGAGAAGAATTATCTAAAGATTTATAGATTGGATTTTTAATATTTGTGGGTCACAGAACTCTGAGCATCTTTAAAACAATAAATACTCAATTCAGAAAAATATACCTACAAAACACATTATTTCTGGAGTTTCAAGCACCTTTTTAAAATACATGCTTGCAGGGAATCAGGACTACATGCCAGATATCTACAAAGACACCTATATATCTGATAACAATGATCTGATAAAATATATTTTTTGGCTGAGGCAGGAGAATCACTTCAACCCTGGAGGTGGAGGTTGCAGTGAGCTGAGACTGCGCCACTGCACTCCAGCCTGGGTGACAGAGAGAGACTCAGTCTCAAAAAAAATCATCTATAGATATAGATATAGATATAGATATAGATATAGATATAGATATAGATATAGATATTTTAACCTGATGACATTCCTGAGATGTATTGAAGTACTGCATATCACAAAGTTTTATTCCTTTTAAAATGACAGCCCAAAACTATTTTTCTATGTTAAGTTTGCTTACTAAAGCAAAGTTTGAGGTTTCCCAAATATACTTTAAGTTATAAGGGACCAAATATGTCAAAATTCCTAAATTATCATAAAATTGTGATTGAGAGTGAAGAAACTATTATCACATTGCTTGAGTTTGAATCCCAGTAGACCCATTTTGTGACCGCAGATAACTTGCTACTTTGTGCCTCATTCTCCTTATCCATAAAGTAGAAATAATAACAGAACCTGCTTCAAAGACTAAATGAGTTTGGATTGCTAAATGTGTTTATACATGGAAAACATTAAGAATAATGTCTAATATATCTTGAATTCTCAGTACATGTCAGACTGGGCACCATCACCATTATTCTCTTGGGAACTCACCATATTTGGAATTGCCTTAGCCCCATCTTCAGAGGAAGATGCTGTTTTAGGAGTCCTGGTTCACCTCTCAGACAACATCTTCTGACAATTAAATATGTTGGTACCCACAAAGCTACTTCAAAGTTCTCTAGCCAGATTGAATTCTGGCCATAAATTCCTGAAATCTGTGTCTAAAATTGGGGTCTGACTACCACACCCACTGCCCCCAGTCTTTATAGTATTATAAAGCCTGACTTGGAATAAGCCATGATTGCAATAATTGTGTCCTTGTCTATGCCATCCTGTGGCATCACCCATGAGTCTAATTAGTGTCAGTATAACCAACCTATGTATCACTTTAAAAACACAGGGTAAATGGGCTTGGTACATTTTTAAGTGTGTGTAGTAATTACTGCTCTGGTACCTACTTCTTCACATTAGAGCAGTTTTAGTTACTTACTGGGATTTGAGGACAGCCCAGAATTCATTTCACAGCTGGAAGGATAACATAATGGCAAACACTCAGAAGGTGTAAGACACTGAATATTGTCTTCACTCTTTTTTTTTTAATTTTATTATTATTACACTTTAAGTTTTAGGGTACACGCTCACAATGTGCAGGTTCATTACATATGAACTGAAGCACATGACCAAAGCATTAAGTCATTTTCTGAAATCCTGCTGCTACTAGCTGACTCCACAAACATGCACTTAGCCATATTCTCCTGGGGCTTGCCACTCTGGTAGTAAATAGACACCAACTGAAGCTACATTAACTCTTTCAGCTGCACTTCCACTCCTGCCACTGAACAGAAGGTATAAAAGCAGTAATTTACCATATGATTTTGAATTATTCTCAACACAATTCTTGGAAAATGATGGTAAGTCTTAAGGGATTTCAAAGGTTTTAAAATCAAAGAGAAGTATTAAGAAAAAAATTATAACACTTAGAATTTCTCTTAGCTGTAAGAACAGATACTAATTCTATGCAAACTGTGTAGCAAAACATGCATGTTTTCTACTATAAAAATAACCCCCTAAAAAAGTTCATGGTGGAAGTGTAAAACTGCGCTATTTGGATAACTGGTTTGCTCAATGACATTGTTCTCAAAACGAATATTGTCATGTCCTTTTTTGTCACTTTTAAATATAAGGAATTAACCATAACAGTAGATTCCTAATGACATAGATGGCTCATTGACAATTGTGAAAATTGTCAGAATATAGCCAAACACTCAACAAGCATGTATAAGCTACATAGTGAATTAGGAAGGCAAGATCAGACAAATATTCTTATGGGAATCAAAAATTGTCCTCACGACTGTCATTACCTCTTCCTGAATGTTACCACTTGAATCCTTAGAAATAATTACATCCCAGTAATGGAATGGCGCATATTCTCACTCATAGGTGGGAATTGAACAATGAGAACACATGGACACAGGAAGGGGAACATCACACTCTGGGGACTGTTGTGGGGTGGGGGGCGGAGGGATAGCATTGGAAGATATACCTAATGCTAGATGACGAGTTAGTGGGTGCAGTGCACCAGCATAGCACATGTATACATATGTAACTAACCTGCACATTGTGCACATTTACCCTAAAACTTAAAGTATAATAATAAATAAAAATTAAAAAAAAGAAATAATTACATCCCAGGTTCCTAATTCCCAGCTACATAATTTGACCAATTTTGTGGTGTTTGAAAAACCTTCATTTAGCATCTTTGAAATTTCATTTGAATGCTTTTTACAATCTCTCCCAGATTATTAATTAAGGCATTCTAAGAGGCCAGTCATCTAGTCTGACAATCACCACTTTCCTTCAGACTCAGTAGAGGGTTATTTATCAGCAATCTTGGCGATCATTCAACTCTTTTTCGAGAAGTTTTTAATCCCTAGCAACTTCTAAACACAATGAAACCTTTAAAAACTTCAAATAGAGAAGCATTTTTATCTCCCTTCAAAGCAGACTGTTTTAAATTGCCAAATTTTGTGGTTTAATTGATCTTTTTCATCTTTCCTCAGATATCTCTATAAAACAAGAATGAGTATTCTGTTACTATCACACTATGCATCTAATGGCAACAGAAGAGAATTTTAGGCTATAGCCCCTTAGACTGAACAGGTTTAAAATTTAACTGGTATCCCAAGGTCAAGTTATTCAAATTGCTCACAAATAGTGTTTCTTTTCAGACTTTATTTATCCTAAGATATTGTCATATTTTAATGATCTCTATGGTAAGCATATGTTTTTAAGATGACATAATACATGAGTTAAAAATAATATTACTTGCAAGAAAAGAAATTGTTAAAATACTTCCCTTTCTCAGTGCTTGACAAATAGTAGTTACTCAATGAGGTTTCTTAAACAAAGTGGATCTTTTTCATGTGGTTGTATCTAGGTATACATGAAGCACACCTTGTACTTACATATTTCATTAATTAACATAAGGACTTTATTCTGAGTTGGAGAAACTATGCAGGTTTGAAGACACAGTCTCCAGAAGACCACTCTCACTTCAGACACCAGCCACAAGCTTGAGGGCTCCCAGGCCACCCTCACTTCAGACTAGCTGGCTATAAGTTTCAGAGTTTCCATGACCACTGTCAGGTTGGATAATTTACTAGAAAATCTCAAAGAACTCAAGAAAGCACTCTACTCATGATTAAAGTTTTATTATAGTGAAAAGATACAAATTAGAATCAGCCAAATTGGAAGAGATGCCTGGATGCCAGAATCTCAGAGAAGGCCAAATGTGGAGTTTCAGGTCATCTTCTGTGGCATCTTGAATGATGGATATAGTGTGTGACAAGAGTGATCATTGCCAACCAAGGAAGTGCACCCTTGAAGCCTAGAGTTTTATTGGGGATTGATCACACACTGCCCAAGTGGCTGACCTTTAGTCACCAGCCTCTCCTAACAGTTCAATTTAATAACTTTAGTCACCAGTTTTTCAGGAGGTGGGAACTCATCGCATATTACAGCAACCCCATTGCAAATCCCATTGTTAGACTTTCCAATAGCAAAAGGCCCTAGAGAAAAAAAAGAAAAAGAAAAAGAAAAAGAAAAGCCTTCTGTCAAGGAAGACATTCCAGGGAGATAGAGGTCACCTTCCAGTAGCCAAGAGTGGAAGCCAGATCTCTATTTGGTTAAAGTTAATTGTTTACTATATAGGCATCATCATTTCTTAATGGAATATTGGATA
Source organism: Homo sapiens (assembly GCF_000001405.40). Lineage (NCBI taxonomy): Eukaryota > Metazoa > Chordata > Mammalia > Primates > Hominidae > Homo > Homo sapiens. Next base: position 61,111,884 of record NC_000006.12, on the reverse strand, counting down.
TTAGATAGGAAAAGGACACTAGACTTACAAACAAATCTTCCCCAATATTCAGGAAGAATTATATGCATAAGTATATCATATCCAACTTTAGCCAACAAGTTCAAGACAATAAGCTTTAAGGATGACAAGTAGCAAAAATTATTTAATTTTTTTTTAAATCAGGTATATGATTAAAATGAAAAGAGTTAAAGAAAATTGGCCCTAAAAAGATAAAACTATAAGTGAAGTCAAAAATCTTAAAGCAAAATTAATTTTACTTAGCAGTTGTTAATGGACCTATGCAGATCACATACTTTGTAAGGTATTTCTAATATTCACAAGAATTAGAAATAAAGCTTCAGAGCCCCGAGTAGGGAAAAACAAGTTGGCTCATGTGAGAATTAAGACTATGACTTTTGCTGGACATTGCAGCCAAATGATCTTTTGAAAATGAAAAATGTATAGACAGAAAAGAAAATTCATTTAGAAATTAATATAGTCCTGGAGTGAAAGGATGATTCAACATTTGGACAGCACTAAAAGATATAACACAATCTCAGCACATAGAAAGCTTTTAAAATGGGATCGATAAGGCAAAGTTTTTTTATAAGAACAAAATGACATTCAGGCATAAATTTGAACCATATAACACTCTGGGGACCTTGACAGTATACAATTCTATGAGTTTCTAAATAAAACAAAAGCAAAAGCAAAACAAAATTCTTAGATTAGACATAAAGTAGCTTAATGTTAAATAATCTGTCTAAAATAAAGTAAAATCTTTGTGACAAATTTTATTAGGAAGACCATTAAGAAACATCTAATTTTTAACATTATCTTTTAAATAAAATTTTATAAAAAGAGCATTGGGTTACTCCTGGATAAACCAAATAGTAATATTAAACAAAATAAAAGTTGAAGTGATGTTTTAAAACTACAACATTAGTTAAGGAGCCTAACCAACAAATACCTTTTGTTAAAAGTATAAGCAATCAAATAATTTAACCATGCATTTTTCAACATTTTCTTAAGCTTATCCAAGGAAGCTTTCAGAGTTAGATTTCATAGCCTAGGTAAAATCAACCTAAAAATGTCAACAACTAAATTTAACAAATGTTTTTCATGGCTTAAAGATGTTTTTAAATGGTAAGTGCTCCCTCTTGTCTTATAGTATTGAGAAACTTCCTATCGTTTTATGAGCTTAGCTCTGTATGGAATGAACTACAAAGAAAGATTCAAAGCCTGAAAGAGAATCTGTTCTGCTTGAGCTGAATCATCTACTGCTCCCTATCCCATCCTCCCAAAGAGGCTCAAATAAGTTTTAAAAGCTCGATAATGATGAATAAATGAAAAGATACATCATGTACCCAGAAAGAAAGACTCAGTATTATGAAGCTGTCAATTCTATACAATCTACAAATTAAGTGTAATTAATTTAATCTAAAATTTCATTTGAACTTTTTATAAACTTAATGAATTTAATTCTGAAGTTCTTCTAGAGGAACCAGGAAATTCTAGAAAAACAAGAATTATGAGGAAAGGGGATGAGCCATATTGATAGCAAATCAATGGCATCACAGTTACAATAATGTAGACACTAGTTTCTACTTTATAGAATTCTATATTGCATGACATCTTTTTGTAATAAACATGAATTAACATTAGAATAGAAACCTCAAAAAAATCCTTTTGGGAAAAAAAAAATCCCATGTTCCTATAATTGAAACTTTGCCCTACAAATTAATGATTAAGAAAGAATGAGTTCTATAGATCTAGTTATAGGATGGCAATTTATTTTTCCTAAAAATAAAAAGTCTTACTTGCCATATTCTATACTGTATAAAAGCAGCTACTCATTATGTACAAAATGTTACATCATTTTATATGTTGAGAAATATAAATATATAAAATTATCATTTCAGACTCACCTTAAGCCTTCCTTCTCTAAAAAATTCTGATATTCTCCTCACATTGTGCAGAATTGGCCACTCTCTTCTAATTTATCCCAGTGAATTTCTTATATAATTATATTACCTATTACTGTTACTGATGGTGCAGGAAAATATACATTTTAATTGATGGTAAGAATGTACATTACGTCTGTCCTTTTGGAAACATCTATTATAATTTTAAATTTTGATGCAATGATACCACTTTAGTCTAGACATCTGACACGCCTAGTATATACTTTATATATTCCTTCAGGAGCTCTTGTAGGGCAGGCCTGGTGGCGACAAAATCTCTCAGCATTTGCTTGTCTGTAAAGGATTTTATTTCTCCTTCACTTATGAAGCTTAGTTTGGCTGGATATGAAATTCTGGGTTGAAAATTCTTTTCTTTAAGAATGTTGGATATTGGCCCCCACTCTCTTCTAGCTTGTGGAGTTTCTGCTGAGAGATCTTCTGTTAGTCTGATGTATTACCCTTTGTGGGTAATCCGACCTTTCTGGCTGCCCTTAACATTTTTTCCTTCATTTCAACTTTGGTGAATCTGACAATAATGTGTCTTGGAGTTGCTCTTCTCAAGGAGTATCTTTCTGGTGTTCTCTGTATTTCCTGAATTTGAATGTTGGCCTGCCTTGCTAGATTGGGGAAGTTCTCCTGGATAATATCCTGCACAGTATTTTCCAACTTGGTTCCATTCTCCCCGTCACTTTCAGGTACACCAATCTGATGTAGATTTGGTCTTTTCACATAGTCCCATATTTCTTGGAGTCTTTATTCGTTTCTTTTTACTCTTTTCTCTCTAAACTTCTCTTCTCACTTCATTTCATTCATTTGATCTTCAATCACTGATACCCTTTCTTCCAGTTGATCGAATTGGCTACTGAAGCTTGTGTATTCATCACATAGTTCTCGTGCCATGTTTTTCAGCTCCATCAGGTCATTTAAGGACTTCTCTACACTGGTTATTCTAATCAGCCATTCGTCTAATCTTTTTTCAAGGTTTTTAACTTCTTTGCAATGGGTTTGAGCTTCCTCCTTTAGCTCGGAGAAGTTTGATCGTCTGAAGCCTTCTTCTCTCAACTCGTCAAAGTCATTCTCCATCCAGCTTTTTTCCATTGCTGGTGAAGAGCTGCATTCCATTGGAGGGGGAGAGGTGCTCTGATTTTTAGAATTTTCAGCTTTTCCGCTCTGTTTTTCCCCATCTTTGTGTTTTTATCTACCTTTGGTCTTTGATGATGGTGACGTACAGATGGGGTTTTGGTGTGGATGTCCTTTCTGTTTGTTAGTTTTCCTTCTAACTTTCAGGACCCTCAGCTGCAGGTCTGTTGGAGTTTGCTGGAGGTCCACTCCACACCCTGTTTGCCTGGGCATCAGCATTGGAGGCTGCAGAACAGTGGATATTGGTGAACAGCAAATGTTGCTGCCTGATCATTCCTCTGGAAGCTTTGTCTCAGAGGGGTGCCCAGCCATGTGTAGTGTCAGTCTGCCCCTACCAGAGGGTGCCTTCTACTTAGGCTACTCGGGGGTCAGGGGCCCACTTGAGGGGGCAGTCTGTCCATTCTCAGATCTCAAACTCGGTGCTGGGAGAACAACTACTCACTTCAAAGCTGTCAGACAGGGACATTTAAGTCTGCAGAGGTTTCTGCTGCCTTTTGTTCAGCTATGCCCTGCCCCCAGAGGTGGAGTCTACAGAGGCAGGCAGGCCTCCTTGAGCTGTGGTGGGCTCCACCCAGTTAGAGCTTCCTGGCCAATTTGTTTACCTACTCAAGCCTCAGCAATGGCCAGCGCCCCTCCCCCAGCCTCGCTGCCACCTTGCAGTTTGATCTCAGACTGCTGCTGTGCTAGCAATGAGTGAGGCTCCATGGGTGTGGGACCCTCCGAGCCAGGCGCCGGATATAATCTCCTGGTGTGCCATTTGCTAAGACCATTGGAAAAGCACAGTATTAGGGTGGGAGTGACCCAATTTTCCAGGTGCCATCTGTCACCGCTTCCCTTGGCTAGGAAAGGGAATTCCCTGACCGCTTGTGCTTCCCAGGTGAGGTGATACCTCACTTTGCTTCAGCTCATGCTCAGTGCGCTGCACCCACTGTCCTGCCCCCACTGTCTGACAAGCCCCAGTGAGATGAACCCAGTACCTTAGTTTGAAATGCAGAAATCACCCATCTTCTGCATCGCTCACACTGGTAGCTGTAGACTGGAGCTGTTACTATTCCCATTTGAATATTGCCCTAGTGGCAAAAAAATTAAAATAAATTAAATTCTCAACTGAATACAAGTTAAATAAACGTTTATGTAAATTTTATCTTTTTCCACATGCAATATAATACAAATACTAGAATAATAGTTGCCAAAATTGCCTAGAGAGGTTTCCATGAGGATTTGATAAGTAAAAAAAATGTGAGAAGAGGAGAAACAAATATAATATAATCTCATTTTTACAAAGTAAAGAAATGACGAAAATATATTCATGTTCACTCTCTCTATATGTGTGTAAAATGGTGTATAAGTTATGGAGAAAATTACTGGACACTACACATCTCGTTAACTTATGTTACTACCTGGGAAAGAAGAAAAGTTATGTGATAAGGATAAAACAAGACAAACAAACATAAATATTACATAAACTTTAATCTATTAATGTAATAAATTTTTTTAATTGAACTATCGTTGAGTACCTATAATAAACAATAATGATGTATTATTGGACAATGCTAAATCCAATTTACTAATATTTTATTTGTTATACATCGTTTTTTATAAGGTTGGTTCCTAATACTGAAGTCCAATGGAAATATAATGCAAGCCAAGCCACATATATAATTGAAAGTGTTCCAGTATTGACTTTAAGAAAAATAAAAAATAAGTGAATAAATTTTAATAATATATTCAACCTAATATAGCAAATGTAATATAACATATCAAAATAAAAATTACTGAGATATTTCATACTTTGTTCTAAGTCTTCCAAATTTGTATGTATTTTACATTGAGTATATCTCAGCTTAGATGTTAATATTTTGATGGTTTGATTATTTGGGGAAGAAGTTGGCTTAAAAAATGTTAACATGAGAAGCAGCTTCTGCTGACCAAAAGGCAGCAGACAAGTTCTCAGAAAACCGGTAAGAAAATCATTGAGGAGAAAGGATACCTGCCTGAATAGATTTTTAATTCAGATAAAAGTGCCCTATAGGGCATTTATTAGTAAGAAAGAGAAGCAAGTACCAGTATTTAAGGCATGATTTAAGGCTAACTCTACTGTTTTGCAAATGCAGTTAGGCTTATGATCAGGCCTGCCCTTATCTGTAAAGCTGCCAGCCCTCACATATTGAAGGGAAAAGATAAACACTAGCTGCCAGTCTTTTAGTTGTACAACAAGAAGACCTGGACAACACGCGGCATTCTTCTGGATTGGCTCCATTGATGCTTTGTCCCTTAAGTCAAAAAGTACATTGCCAGTAATTACCTTTCAAAGGTCTTTTGATATTAGACAATGCCTCCTGGCTACCCAGAGTGCCATGAGTTCAACACCGAAGGCATCAAAGTGGTCTACTTGCCTGCAAACACAATGTCTCTAATTCAGCCTCTAGATCAGGGAGTCATAGAACCTTTAAGGCTCATTACCCATGGCTCCCTATGAAAAGGATTATCACCACTATAAAAAGAGAACCCCAATAGAGAGAACATCATGAAAATCTGGAAGAATTATGCCATTGAAGGTGCACCATCATTGTTCGTGAAACAATGATGTGAAAGTGATTTCACGATTGTGAAAGTTATCAGTCCTGAAGCAACGAATTTTTACTGGAGAATACTGTGTCCAGATGTTGTGCATGACTTCATAGGATTTTTGAAACAGCCAATCGAAGAGATCATGACAGAGATTGTGGATATAGAAAAAAACAAAAAGTGGTTAGGTGAACGATTTCTAGATAAGCATTTTGGAGAAATTCAAGAACTAATAGGCACCACATCAGATGAATTAACAGAAGATGACTTGGGCAATCTGGCAGAAGGATTCTTATTATTTAAGACTACTTTTGATTTATTGTATAACATGGACTCTTCTATGATATGGGCATCAAAACTGAAGCAAATGGTGGAAGGAGGATCTATATTGTATAGAAACATTTTTAGATAAATGAAAAAGCTTAAGTCAGGCATAAATTACCATGTATTTCCATAAAGTTACACCGAGTGTTCCTGACTTTCATGCTTTCTATTCCACCTCCTCCACCTCTCCTGCCTCTGCCACTCCTGAGACAGCAAGGCCAACCCCTCCTCTTTCTCCTCCTTCTCAGTGTACTCCACATGAAGGTAACAAAGATGAAGACCTTTATAATGATCCACTTCCACTTAATGACTAGTAGATACATTTTTTCTTTCTTATGATTTTCTCTGTAACATTTTTTCTCCAGCTTACTTTATTATAGATAAACAGTATTTATTACATATAACTGACAAAATATGTGTTAATTGACAGTTTATATTATGGGTAAGGCTTCCAATCTACAGTAGGCTATTAGTAGTTAAGTTTTCGGAGAGTCAAAAGTTTTATGTGAATTTTTGACTGCCCGGGAGGTCAGTCCCCCTAACCCCTGTGTTATTCAAGAGGCAACTGTATTACCAAAAGTCATTTCTTTTTCCTCCTGGAAAAACAGCTAGATTATATTTCCAGCTTCTCCTGCAGTTAGATTAGATTTGTGACTAAACTCTGGCCAAAGGAAAGTACTCTTAAAACCTCCTATTCAATTCTCTGTATTCTGTGTCTTCCATTGCCTGCCTGATAGAGGTGGAAGAATCAGATGAGGACTCCCAAGCTTTATAAAATAGATAAAATGGCTACTGGATGGAAGTAGTCTAGCTCCATGAATGAGTGAAACAGACCCCCTTCGCCCTGACTTATTTGTATTAGACTGTGAAATAAGACAACATCTATTGATATGGTTTCAATATGTGTCCCTGCCCAAATCTCATGTTGAATTGTAATCCCCAGTGTTGGAGGAGGGGCCTGGTGGGAGGTGACTGGATCATGGGGGCAGATTTTCCCCTTGCTGCACTCATGATAGTGAGTGAGTTCTCACAAGATCTGGTTGTTTAAAAATGTGTAGCACCTCCTCCTCTTTCTTCCTCCTGCTCAGGCCATGTAAGATGTACCTGCTTCCTCTTTGCCTTCTGCCATGATTGTAAGTTTTCTGAGCCTTCCCCAGTCACCCTTCCTGTACAACCTGCAAAATCATGAGTCAATTAAACATCCCTTCTTAGTAAGATAATCAGTTTTTGGTAGTTCTTTATAGCAATCAGAGAACAGATTAATACAGGAAATTGGTACCAAGAGTAGGATATTGCTACAAAAATATCTAAAAATGTGGAAGCAACTTTGGAACTAGGTAATGGGCAGAGGTTGGAAGAGTCTGGAGGGCTCAGAAGAAGAGAGGAAGATGAGGGAAAGTTTGAAACTTCCTAGAGGCTGTTTAATTGTTGTGAACAAAATGCTGATAGTGATATGGACAGTGAAGTCCAGGATGAGGAGGTCTCAGATGGAAATAAGAAACTGATTGGGAACTGGAGCAAAGAATTAACTAATACATTTACCTTTTATCCATTGTTAAGTAACAGGGATTTGGAGGGGGTTTTTTAGTAGCCCTTAGCCTACCTTAACAATCCACTCTTTGTTGTTCAACTAATCACAGAAAACTGCGTCAACAAACAATGTTCAAAGCTAAACACTAACTAAATATATCAAGTATATTGTATAAATAATGTATATTGTATATCAAGTATATTGTATAAATAATCATACTTTTAGAAAGTGTACAGCATAGATAGCAATGTTTTGAAAGATAATTGTGAATATGAACCATTCAGACTTATTGAAGATCATTAACAAAAACATCAGAAACATATTCGATTCTTTCTACTAATTACCTCCAAACGGGAAAAAAGTCATTTCTTATATTTTCTTTAAGTGAAGGGTTAAAAGGAGAAGAAATAAAGAAGAAAGTAAGAAATGAATCAGCATTTATAAAAATAAGTTTGCAGCCAACATAAATTACAGTAATTCTATACTTGGATCAAATGAAGAGCTGTCTGGAAGCCTGCCACCACTCCTCACCACCTACCACTGCCAACTACTGTTAATTATGAGAACACTTTTTCTCTTTCTGCTATACTGGACTAAGATTTTTTTCCCCAATTTCCAGTATTGAGGGTAAATCCCTGCCACTTTCTTCTAATACGTCACCAATTCTTACTTATTTTACCATTAAATATTCTCAATTCATCCATTTCTCTACATGTACATCAACTACAACCTTGTTTATGGTATCATTTCCTACCTGGGCTGCCTCAATGGTCCCTGATGGGTCTGCCGCAGCCTCTAAAGTCCCTTCCAATCCATAATCTTATATTTTCATCAGAATGGGCTTTTCAAACTGGAGGGGTATCAGATCATGTTACCTTGATTTCCCCATGTGTCCTCCCCAACTCTTGCCAAGCTTCCTATTGCTCTTTAGATAAAATTCTTCACATGGTTCATGTTTGCATGAACAATTTTTTTTTTTTTTTTTTTTTTTTGAGACGGAGTCTTGCCCTGTAGCCCAGGCTGAAGTGCAGTGGCATGATCTCGGCTCACTGCAAGCTCTGCCTCCCGGGTTCACGCCATTCTCCTGCCTCAGCCTCCCAAGTAGCTGGGACTATAGGCGCCCGCCACCGCACCCTGCTAATTTTTTTTTTTTTTTTTTTTTGTATTTTTAGTAGAGACGGGGTTTCACGGTGTTAGCCAGGATGGTCTCGATCTCCTGACCTCATGATCCGCCTGCCTTGGCCTCCCAAAGTGCTGGGATTACAGGCATGAGCCACCGCACCTGGCCCAAATTTTTTATTTGTTTCTTTGGTTTGAATTTTTAGCAGCTTTCCCTCCTGCTTAGAATGCACTTTTCTTCCCTTTTTATTTAAGAGCTAACTTCTTTGGCTATAAAACTAATCATCACTTTCTGCAGGAAGTCTTTCCTGACTTCCATGACTAGTTCAAATTCCCTGATAATCAGTCAATGAATTGTGTGGGCCTTAATCTCACAGCATAGGTAACAGTTGTTATTTCACATGTGCTTGTAGATTGTTTGATCTGTATCTGTAAGCCCATTGGAGTGTAAGCTTTTTGAAGAAATAGACTGTTTTTTTCGGGGGGCATGGGGAGTTATATTTTTGCAATAGATGCCTGGCAGTTGGTGATTAAGGAATAAATAGTGGTTGAATAAATCAGTGAGCCATAATTCCTCATTCTGAAATTATCCAGGGATTGACCATGATTCTAGATGTGGTCTGTGATGACAAGAGACTGCAAGTGACAGAAAGAAAGAAGGGTATTGGGGTTCATAATCAGGATTCCAAATCCTCCCACCATTTCACCAGCCAGCATTATCAAAGAGATTCAGTTCTCTTAGTATCTGATCTGATACCCAGTTATATTTCTTATTTAAAAGACCTTGATGGGCAACCTTTGAAATGTATTCAATACTTCAGTTCTTCGTCTACATAAAGAACAATCACCTGCACAACTTTCCCTTTTGCTACAAGTTTTAAGTAAAACATAGTGAAAAATATAGCAAAATGATCAACCTCATTATGCCTAAACTATTAGCTAGACCTAGAATAGTTTAAATTCCAGGTTTTGCTTTATATCCACTACTTTCTTCTCAAAGAACCACAAGATGTACATCATGATCACTGTTTTAACGTAGAACCAAAGCCAAATATTTTACGTAAACTGCACAAAGGCATTCAGATAATAAGAGATAAATTCTCTTTCCTCTGAAGACTTACAGAACTGCTATTATACAATCTCTGGAGTCCACAAAAAAACTGTTGAAGAACCCTGTGCTTGCTTAGCAGATAAAATGGTAGAGGAGAAGCCATGCAACTGTTTTTGGTAGTCTGGTTAAGGTAAAGAAGATTAAATTATTCACTGGAGAAATAGGTAATGGCAGAAGTAGAAAGCAAGGAGGATTTCTGAGACGAGAGCCTGCATAGAATCTAATTCCCTCCATTTATTTCCCTGCAGTCACCTTCCTGGAGATCACAGAAGTTACCCATGGTAACTTCTTGGGATCTCTTGGCAGGTGTAGAGTGGGAAAGGTGTGTGTGCTTCTGCTATCTGAGGGGAGAACTCCAAACACATTCTTCCTTTTGAAATATCATTTATCATTATTCAATGATTAAAGTCTTATACTATTTAGATAGACCATTAGGAATTTGGAGTTTAAAAGATTTTATTTGTCCTGAAAATGCAATCATAATGTAAAATATTTTATTTATTGGAAAATACACTTAATATTTTAAACAATTAATTTTTTTTCTAGAAACACAGCCCATTAGGAATGTGTAGAATCATGTGTAGAGGTCCTGAAAATATTTAAAATCAGGGGCAGAATTCTTAGTTCAGGGAACAGCCCTCCCATTTGCTTAGAACAAATTTTCTTTTTCTAATTAGAAAAACACCCAGAAATTGCTAGCTTATTTTGTGAATTCAAGAAATGGATCCGTATGCTGAACTTACAATTTATTTTCTTATTAATTTAATTTTTAGAAACTATTGGCAAGGTTATAACTACATTCAGCATAATAAAACAAATGTAATATTCATGCCAAAGACATGTTGCTGTTAAGAATTGATGTTCTAAAATCAATTACATGCGAATATATACATTAGCTTGAGATACTTTAAATGTCAATAGTTTATTATTATGTTCAGAATAGAACTAAATTAGACCAATTTTAAAATTAGATTGAATGTATTTCTCGGTGATTATTTTCTCTCCCTATTACCAGTGATATAACCACACCTAAGGATTGTATTCATTTAGTGTTGTGAATGAAGTATCTAAAACTTTTCCCAAGAGCTTCAAAATATTTATGTATTACAGTCCATGTGCATTTTCTTTTTTAAAAAAGAAAGATGCTGTGGACAATTTAAGTTTTCCTTGAATCTTTATGTATATGCTATACATTTTTACTTCTTTTATGCCACTTAATTTTTTTCCTAGATTATAATTTCTTGGTGATTGTACACATTGAGAAGAGATAGACAAAAGTCATGTCTACATAATTCTTTGTCTCTTCGGATTTGGCAAAATGCTTTTTATAGTATCAACTCAGGTTTTTATATTTAAAATCCTGAGTCATTCATCACTTCTGAAGAATTCTTACTGTCAGATCCCTATAACCTATTGCCATTTTCCCTTTTATCCTGGTGTTTTGATCAACAATTTATATTATTAGATCCTAACAATTCCATTAGTAACAATGATAACTCTTTTTGGGGAATTTTACTTAGAAAATTTTCATAGTAATTCAAATACCCTAACTTCTCCTAATCTTCAAAACCCTCTATTTTCTAAAATTTATTCATTCATCAAAATGCTAAAAGCAGAAAGTTTTGAATGTATCTTAAGGACATAAAGATAAAATTAACCAAACATACACTTAATTTTGTGCCCTGATTTTTCCCACAATACAGTTAAACCACAGAGGGTATAAAACCTTTTTACATAGGCCCCCTCAGTGATTTTTAAAATCTTTTTTGAGAAGTAAGAGCCAAGAAAAACCAATTGCTCTATTTCTGGCCAGCTGAGCAGCAATACCCAGAGGATGGTCATTAATCATCAACAAATTACAAGGCAATCACTACAGCAAGTCAAAGGTAAAATCAATTACAGTGACAATTAAAGTACCCAAACATCAAGCTCAAAGCCCCTGTAGTTAATAACCTTATATGACTTTATAGGGAATTCAAGCATAGAATTTTCTATAATGGTGAAATAAAAAACTACATTTAATGAAAGGGTATAGAGCAATAATTTATATTGTAATTTGAGAAAAGAGCCTCCTATGGCAATAAAATTGACGGTGATTTGACCCATTGTTTTGTCAATCAGTTATTTCTATTGTGGAAAGTAACAGTGATTACATATTGATTATACTGCTTTTGGTGTAATCACATCTTTGTGAAGAAAATGCCATGTGCCCTGCCTTGATGTTGGCATCTAGCACCAAGATTCAACAAAATAAGTTGCAAAGAGTTTTGAGACTGAAAGGACAATCTTATCACTTTATGCTGTCAACTGTATTTTTGAACTCTTTGGTGACCTTCAAATGAAATCACCCAAGTGAGTAAGTCCAGAGAAATGTAGAGATTTATAGATCTGCACTTTTCCCAGTTGAGTTATATTGTTATTCACATTTCTGCTACAGTCAACCCACATGAATATTTCTTCTAAGATTCTGAAATAAGGAAAAGCTTCCCCCAGTGAGGTCAAGAGAGAAGATAGGCACTTGCTTCTGCTGTATCTAGTTGATCAGGATCAGGTTAGGAACATTCCGATTCAGTTTATTAAAGCTGAAAAATGCTGTCATACTTCTTCCACTTAATCTGGCTGTGTAAGCATTTTCCAAAAAGAAATAAAGTTAGTATTCAGAGATATGATCACACTAGACACAGATCTGGTAAGAAAATCAAGATAGATGTGTTTTAATTTCAGTCTTATTACTAATTGAATGACAGCCTGGATTAACTATTTAACCTATCTTCTTGTAAATTTTTTAAATCTCTGAAATGGAAAAAAAAGAGATCATTTCTAGGTATTATGTAGGGAAATTGAATAAATACCTGATTATAGAAATGATCTTAAGATAGAAATTAGAAATTAATGGATTAATCAAATGTATAGTACATGTAAACTTGCTTAAATATATGTGATATAATACTAAATTTCCAAATTATCAACAGCCATTTACATGGCTCCCAAAATCTTTTTCAGTTTACTTGAAAAAGTTATTTTTGTTACTTGTTTTAATGTATGTTGGTACCATGGAAAGTCATTTTATCAATAAAATTCCCTCTAAAGACAAACCTATTCTTAGATTTGGTTAACTGATATCTTGCCAAGAACCCTGATATTTTCAGTTTATCCCTGAATCACTGACTCAACAATCTATCTAGTACATACCTGCAAATCTTCACACTCCCTCAGCTCAAAAGACCTAGTACCTATATAAAACTTGTTTTATCAATCTGTAAATAGATTGGGCATGAAATCACCTTTCGAGAGAGCCCTTCAAATAGACAGTTTTAAAAAAGGGGAGTACATAAGCAAACCTTTCAATCACTTAACAAGTATTGACTGGCTACTACAGGGCAGGCACTATTTTAGGCACAGGGGCTAAATCAGCAAACAAAACACAGAAAGTTCCCTGCTCTCATGAGACTTACATTCTAGCAGTGAAGGGCAGGAAATAAATAATAAACACAATAAATAAGTAAATTAAACTGTGTATTAAAAAGTGGTAGGTGCTTTGGAATAAGGAAAAAATGGAGCAAGGTAAAGAGGATTGGGAATGGAAGGGAGGGGAGTAGGAAAAGGGCATGATCCAGTGTATTTGATCAGTCATAAGGGGAGGAGGTAGTAGGACATGGTCAAAGTAGAGACTCAGATAACACAAGGCCTCATAAACTTTGGCTTTTACCCTCTATGCAGTGGGAAGTGATTTCAGGGTTTTGAGCAGAAAAGTGGCATAATCTTACTTATATTTCTAGTGATTCCTCTTTCTGTTGTGTTGAGAATCAACAGAGGAAAAGCAAAGGCAATGCAAGGAGAACAGATATGAAAATAGGTAAGAGACCGTTGCTATAGTCAAGGAGACAGGTGCTGGTGGCTTAAACCAGGGGAGTAGCAGTAGAGGTGGCAAAAGATATTTGGAGTTTGAGGTATATATTAATAGGAATTCCTAAAATATTAGATATAAGATCTGAGAAAAAATAATAAGGATATCTCCTGGATTTGGCCTGATCAACTGCAGCACCATTAACTCAGAAAGATAAGGATGTATGTAGGCCAGTTCTGGAGCGTAGATCAGGAACTGAGCTCTAGGGATTAAATTTAACATCCAAGGGAAGATATTAAGTTGGAGTATAAATACAAGTCAGGAGTTCTGAAGAGAGATGGAAATGTGTGAGTTTCAGCATATAGAGGTATTTAAAACCATAGCCTGGGTGAGATCACAAAGGAAGTGAGGATAGATAGAAAAGAAAATTAAATTTATCTTCCATTATGATTTATTTATTTTTTTTCTGTTTTTTTTTTATTATTATACTTTAAGTTTTAGGGCACATGTGCAAATTGTGCAGGTTAGTTACATATGTATACATGTGCATGCTGGTGCACTGCACACACTAACTCATCATCTACCATTAGGTATATCTCCCAATGCTATCCCTCCCCCTCCCCCCACCCCACAACAGTCCCCAGAGTGTGATATTCCCCTTCCTGTGTCCATGTGATCTCATTGTTCAATTCCCACCTATGAGTGAGAATATGCGGTGTTTGGTTTTTTGTCTTGCGATAGTTTACTGAGAATGATGTTTTCCAATTTCATCCATGTCCCTACAAAGGACATGAACTCAACATTTTTATGGCTGCATAGTATTCCATGGTGTATATGTGCCACATTTTCTTAATCCAGTCTATCATTGTTGGATATTTGGGTTGATTCCAAGTCTTTGCTATTGTGAATAATGCCGCAATAAACATACGTGTGCATGTGTCTTTATAGCAGCATGATTTATAGTACTTTGGGTATATACCCAGTAATGGGATGGCTGGGTCAAATGGTATTTCCAGTTCTAGATCCCTGAGGAATCGCCACACTGCCTTCCACAATGGTTGAACTAGTTTACAGTCCCACCAACAGTGTAAAAGTGTTCCTATTTCTCCACATCCTCTCCAGCACCTGTTGTTTTCTGACTTTTTAATGATTGCCATTCTAACTGGTGGGAGATGGTATCTCATTGTGGTTTTGATTTGCATTTCTCTGATGGCTAGTGATGGTGACCATTTTTTCATGTGTTTTTTGGCTGCATATATGTCTTCTTTTGAGAAGTGTCTGTTCATGTCCTTTGCCCACTTTTTGAAGGGGTTGTTTGTTTTTTTCTTGTAAATTTCTTTGAGTTCATTGTAGATTCTGGATATTAGCCCTTTGTCAGATGAGTAGGTTGCGAAAATTTTCTCCCATTTTGTAGGTTGCCTGTTCACTCTGATGGTGCTTTCTTTTGCTGTGCAGAAGCTCTTTAGTTTAATTAGATCCGATTTGTCAATTTTGGCTTTTGTTGTCATTGCTTTTGGTGTTTTAGACATGAAGTCCTTGCCCATGCCTATGTCCTGAATGGTAATGCCTAGGTTTTCTTCTAGGGTTTTTATGGTTTTAGGTCTAACATTTAAGTCTTTAATCCATCTTGAATTGATTTTTGTATAAGGTGTAAGAAGGGATCCAGTTTCAGCTTTTTACATATGGCTAGCCAGTTTTCCCAGCACCATTTATTAAATAGGGAATCCTTTCCACATTGCTTGTTTCTCTCAGATTTGTCAAAGATCAGATAGTTGTAGATATATGGCGTTATTTCTGAGGGCTCTGTTCTGTTCCATTGATCTATATCTCTGTTTTAGTACCAGTGCCATGCTGTTTTGGTTACTGTAGCCTTGTATTATAGTTTGAAGTCAGGTAGCATGATGCCTCCAGCTTTGTTCTTTTGGCTTAGGATTGACTTTGCAATGCAGGCTCTTCTTTCATTCCATATGAACTTTAAAGTAGTTTTTTCCAATTCTGTGAAGAAAGGCATTGGTAGCTTGATGGGGATGGCATTGAATCTATAAATTACCTTGGGCAGTATTGCCATTTTCACGATATTGATTCTTCCTACCCATGAGCATGGAATGTTCTTCCATTTCTTTGTATCCTCTTTTATTTCATTGAGCAGTGTTTTGTAGTTCTCCTTGAAGATGTCCTTCACATCCCTTGTAAGTTGGATTCCTAGGTATTTTATTCTCTTTGAAGCAATTGTGAATGGGAGTTCACTCGTGATTTGGCTCTCTGTTTGTCTGTTGCTGGTGTATAAGAATGCTTGTGATTTTTGTACATTGATTTTGTATCCTGAGACTTTGCTGAAGTTGCTTATCAGCTTAAGGAGATTTTGGGCTGAGATGATGGGGTTTTCTAGATATACAATCATGTCATCTGCAAACAGGGACAATTTGACTTCCTCTTTTCCTGATTGAATACCATTTATTTCCTTCTCCTGCCTGATTGCCCCGGCCAGAACTTCCAACACTGTGTTGAACAAGGGTGGTGAGAGAGGGCATCCCAGTCTTGTGCCAGTTTTCAAAGGGAATGCTTCCAGTTTTTGCCCATTCAGTATGATATTGGCTGTGGGTTTGTCATAGATAGCTCTTATTATTTTGAAATACATCCCATCAATACCTAATTTATTGAGAGTTTTTAGCATGAAGGTTTGTTGAATTTTGTCAAAAGCCTTTTCTACATCTATTGAGAGAATCATGTGGTTTTTGTCTTTGGTTCTGTTTATATGCTGGATTTCATTTATTGATTTGCGTATATTGAACCAGCCTTGCATCCCAGGGATGAAGCCCCCTTGATCATGGTGGATAAGCTTTTTGATATGCTGCTGGATTCGTTTTGCCAGTATTTTATTGAGGATTTTTGCATCAATGTTCATCAAGGATATGGGTCTAAAGTTCTCTTTTTTTGTTGTGTCTCTGCCTGTCTTTGGTATCAGAATGATGCTGGCCTCATAAAATGAGTTAGGGAGGATTTCCTCTTTTTCTCTTGATTGGAATAGTTTCAGAAGGAATGGTTCCAGTTCCTCCTTGTACCTCTGCTAGAATTCAGCTGTGAATCCATCTTGTCCTGGACTCTTTTTGGTTGGTAAGGTATTGATTATTGCCACAATTTGAGATCCTGTTATTGGTCTATTCAGAGATTCAACTTCTTCCTGGTTTAGTCTTGGGAGAGTGTATGTGTCCAGGAATTTATCCATTTCTTCTAGATTTTCTAGTTTATTTGCGTAGAGGTGTTTGTAGTATTCTCTGATGGTAGTTTGTATTTCTGTGGGATCAGTGGTGATATCCCCTTTATCATTTTTATTGTGTCTATTAGATTCTTCTCTCTTTTTTTCTTTATTAGTCTTGCTAGCAGTCTATCAATTTTGTTGATCCTTTCAAAAAACCAGCTCCTGGATTCATTAATTTTTTGAAGGGTTTTTTGTGTCTCTATCTCCTTCAATTCTGCTCTGATTTTAGTTATTTCTTGCCTTCTGCTAGCTTTTGAATGTGTTTGCTCTTGCTTTTCTAGTTCTTTTAATTGTGATGTTAGGGTGTCAATTTTGGATCTTTCCTGCTCTCTCTTGTGGGCATTTAGTGCTATAAATTTCCCTCTACACACTGCTTTGAATGTGTCCCAGAGATTCTGGTATGTTGTGTCTTTGTTCTCATTGGTTTCAAAGAACATCATTATTTCTGCCTTCATTTCGTTATGTACCCAATAGTCATTCAGGAGCAGGTTGTTCAGTTTCCAGGTAGTTGAGCGGTTTTGAGTGAGATTCTTAATCCTGAGTTCTAGTTTGATTGCACTGTGGTCTGAGAGATAGTTTGTTATAATTTCTGTTCTTTTACATTTGCTAAGGAGAGCTTTACTTCCCAGTATGTGGTCAATTTTGGAATAGGTGTGGTGTGGTGCTGAAAAAAATGTATATTCTGTTGATTTGGGGTGGAGAGGTCTGTAGATGTCTATTAGGTCCTCTTGGTGCAGAGCTGAGTTCAATTCCTGGGTAGCCTTTTTGACTTTCTGTCTCATTGATCTGTCCAATGTTGACAGTGGGGTGTTAATGTTTCCCATTATTAATGTGTGGGAGTCTAAGTCTCTTTGTAGGTAACTCAGGACTTGCTTTATGAATCTTGGTGCTCCTGTATTGGGTGCATATATATTTAGGATAGTTAGCTCTTCTTGTTGAATTGATCCCTTTAGCATTAGGTAATGGCCTTCATTGTCTCTTTTGATCTTTGTTTGTTTAAAGTCTGTTTTATCAGAGACTAGGATTGCAACCCCTGCCTTTTTTTGTTTTCCATTTGCTTGGTAGATCTTCCTCCATCCTTTTATTTTGAGCCTATGTGTGTCTCTGCACGTTAGATGGGTTTCCTGAATACAGCACACTGATGGGTCTTGACTCTTTATCCAATTTGCCAGTCTGTGTCTTTTAATTGGAGCATTTAGTCCATTTACATTTAAAGTTAATATTGCTATGTGTGAATTTGATCCTGTCATTATGATGTTAGCTGGTTATTTTGATCATTAGTTGATGCAGTTTCTTCCTAGTCTTGATGGTCTTTACATTTTGGCATGATTTTGCAGCAGCTGGTACTGGTTGTTCCTTTCCATGTTTAGTGCTTCCTTCAGGAGCTCTTTTAGGGCAGGCCTGGTGGTGACAACATCTCTCAGCATTTGCTTCTCTGTAAAGGATTTTATTTCTCCTTCGCTTATGAAGCTTAGTTTGGCAGGATATGAAATTCTGGGTTGAAAATTCTTTTCTTTAAGAATGTTGAATATTGGCCCCCACTCTTTTCTGACTTGTAGGGTTTCTGCCGAGAGATCCGCTGTTAATCTGATGGGCTTCCCTTTGAGGGTAACCCGACCTTTCTCTCTGGCTGCCCTTAACATTTTTTCCTTCATTTCAACTTTGGTGAATCTGACAGTTATGTGTCTTGGAGAAGTATCTTAACCCTTTCAACAGAGATTTATTTCTTTTCTTAGTCTATTTCATGTTGCTATTGATAGATATTTAAAGCAGGATAGTGTTTTCTTTCTTTTATAAAATAAAATGAATGTTCAGTGTTTGAGGCTCTACATGTGATTATTTCTCATTTTCCTTTGGGCTAAAAATCTTCAGTTACTCTCGTTCTATAATATATCACCTCCTAATTGAAAACCCTAGCTCTCATATACACTTTAAATCAACACCAATGAACCAATGTATTATTACCACTCTGAGAGTAAGAACACAAACTGTGCATTTCTGAAATTTGGATCCCTATTTTATAGATGCTATTATTACCCAATGGAAGTATTTCTAGAAGTTTACCTTCTCTGCCTTTAAAGAAAAATTCTGTAATAGGTATTTGAAACATAATAAAATGGAACTTTAAGGAATATCTTTTTTTATTTTCAAGTGATGAATAAAAATAATCGGGAGATTTAAACAACTTAATATAAAAAAAAAGAACCTTTAAACATACAAATTGAAAGTGAAATGTAGAGTAAATGTTAACACCTCACTTTTTTCCTTGACAAGCACTTTCTCTCATATTCATTTTTAATGTCAGAGAATTCACAGAACTAAGATCTTTATTCTAAACCTCCAGAGCTTGCTTCAGAAAGTAATTATGTAGGTATTTGTCAGAAACTCAACTAATAGGCTTAGGAATTTAAAGTAATATGTATAGTTAACAAAGATATCTACCACAACTCCACTCTCCTCCCCTCTCTTCTCTCTCACAGTCAGGCATCACTCCAAACCAATTCTGGGCACATTTTCCTTTAAGAATCAGAGATGGGGGTGGGGCATTATAAAATCTAGTAAAAGTAAAGATTCAGTGAAACAAGTATGCAAGTATATAGATGGTAGGCGTGTAAGCTGATTCAAGCTTTGTGGAGAAGACATTAGGAGCAAGGTCCTAGAGCTAGTTTCCTTTGGTGCCTTCATGTGAAACTAAGTGTTCCTTGTTTTCCCTCAGCCAGCTCCTACCCCACTGTCCTGAGCTGATTTCTACTGTGCCACAAAATCAGAAGATGCATGGGTAATTGTGTTTGTCAGTCAGGGTCCCTGCAGAAAACAGATGGCTCATTCAAACTGGATACTTTGAAGAGAATTTGATAAAGGAACTACATAGAAAGACATGGACAAGATTTAAGGAGTCCCACAATGCCAGTCAAGTAATGGGGTGGTAATAATGGGGAGACATCTTGAAGAAGAGGAAGGTAGAAAGCAGTTACCAAAACCTGGAAAAGGCAGCATTATGAGAAGGATTCAACATGGGCTGTGCCTTTTGTGGAGCAATTAATCCTCCACCCTTACTGTCTTCCCACCCTTTTGTTTCTTGCCAGTGCCTCTCTTCGGCTAAATCAACCTAAAACCAGGGAGAAGGAGGCTCACTGATGGTAAGCAAATGGGTTAGCTACCTTGACAAGACTTGTTAAGCAATTTTTGTGGTTCAGTGAAGAATGAAAATGCAGGGCTCCTTTGTTTGAAAACAATTGTTAGGAATTTCAAGATGGTAATAGCAAAACAATAAATCAAGTGTAGGATCCCACTGAGTGTGGAACCCTGTGCATCTGTGTAGGTCACATGCTCATGAAGCCAGCCTGCTCCCAGAACACATAGAAAAATGAATAGGGATACAGAAGGATATGAAGGACATAAATGTATACAGCACCAATGTGTTACCTTGGACAAGTTACTTAGGTATTCTGTATCACAGTTTACAGGTCTGTTAAGTGGAGATGACAAGAGTATTTTATATTGTTATTCTGAGGATTAATTGAGGTGATACATGCAATTTTCTCAAGTCAGTGGCTGGCAAAGAAAAAGTAAATGTCAACTACTAGTATTAACTTTAACACTTAATATCAATATGCAGAGAAATATATTCATATGAAATTGCATTTTTATAAGTTATGCAATTTTTATCATTTTGAAAAATTCTAAATTTGTTTACTATTTTTCAGGGAAATTTTTATATTTACATAATTTTGAAGAATCCTGGAATGTATGGTGAATATGTACTCTGTAAAAATGAAAATGTTTTCCTGATATTACTGCCACCTTCTTAAAACAAGATATTAACCTTTCATATAAGAATCAGAATAGTTATTTTATGATACTTGGTTACCCAAATGTGAATAAATTGCCCCTCCCACTCCTCTTATCAAGATTTGTGTGTGTGTATGTGTGTGAGATCTATAAAAACTTCTCTTTTCTAATGACACTTTTTCTTATCCACCCCATGCCACTGATCTCCTTTGGCTGTTCTTGAGGTCTTATTTTTGTATCATGCATTTTCCACCATGCATTTTCCTGGGTGCCATGGAGGAGAGTGGAAAGAGCAGGATTTTAAAGCCAGACAGGCCATAGTTAGGACTCCAATTTTGCTAATTACCAGTTGTTCAAATATAGACTGAGTTTCACATTATTCATCTGTAACACGGGAATTCTTGAGAATCAAATTTTTTAATTATATTGAACACAAAGCCTGACATCCATGAGGTATTCAATAGTTCTTTTCTTCATTCCTCCTTCCCTTATTTCAGTCTTAGTTTCTAACTATATTTTAAACTGCTAGAGGGAGCAGTAATTTGTCTTGCCTAATATCTTTATTCCATTCAACAGCTTCTCAAAACATGTTTTTTACCAAAGTAACATTTTAAAAATGTAAATAGAATCACTTTATTCTTTAACAAACATGCTGAGTAGAATCAGAAATGATAATATAATGTCAAACTGGTAATCAGGAACTAATGGCAGTTTTATTTCCACCATGAACTAATTGTGTGGCGTATGAAAGTCTAGCAACATTCTTATGAATTACGTGATATTGACATACAAGCCAATTTGTGAACTGACTTTTGCCTAGAAATTAGGAGGTCCTATTTAGCTATTTTCCCCAGTACAAATATAAAATGATCAATAAGAAATCATAATATTTTAATTTTCTAATACAGTTGTCACACAAAGGAATACACTGGTTATTGCAAACATTGGCTTACCAGTTAACTCAAACCACTGAAAAATCATAGTTACTCCGAGTCATTAAGAAATAAGTCTGCATAGATAAATTCTTCAAAGACAAAACTGTTTGGTCTTTTCTGACAAGAGTTAAAATTTTTTTATTATATTTTCTAAAAATGCATTTATTACTGTACATTACTTAATCTTTTCTAGATGATTCAGGATGTAATGCTAAACATCAATAAAGGTACTGTGCTGTAAGCACCTGTATATACAGGGAACACTAAGATTAGTAATGTTTTGCCATATATTAAAGGGCCAAACAATTTGCTTTTGTTCTTTGTGGGTGTGTGTGTTCATTTTGGAGAAATATCTCCTGCCTTGCTGCCATATTAGCTCCTTACTTTACTGTGTGTCTGCTTGTAACAATGACACTTCACTATTCAACTGTGATATTCTTGATTTCCTGGGATTTAAAAAATGAGATGATGAATCTTATTGGACTGCTATGCAATATAAAACTAAAATTAAAGGCAGTACTTATAAGACTTTCCTAGTAGTAAAGTATCCAAGCTTTAGTATTATTTATCATCAATTTTAGCTGTTTTAAAATTGCTTCCTTCCTGTTTTCAGGCCAAATGCTGAATATTTGAGTTGTTAATATGTTATAACAAGATTAAATGACATTTAATTACTTTAGTCATATATACCAAAAGTTCCTATTTTAGTTTAAAAATTGAAATAAAGCAAAGGAATGTCTCAAATTAAAATTTCTGAAAAGTTTAAATTCTGCTTGGTCATTAATTTAGTACAGACATACTGCTTCTCACTTCAACTTAGGTCTCTGAAAAATAAATGACATGGTTTTCAAAAGACAATGGAGAAAAAATTTGATGATTACAAAGCAAAAATATATACCCATGTATTTATGTATCACTTTACTTTTACTATATTCTATGCAGTAACTAAGATTACTCCAGTAATTCTAGTTGAAATGGGGACATTTTCTCATTATTGAAAGCTCCCTAAAAGAAAAAACAATATGCTCTCATAAAATATCTGATTTTTAAAATGGTGGATTATAAGAATTTTACATTATAAGGATTCCTTATTTTTTCTTTTTCATGGCAGTCTTACAGTACCCCTAATATGTTATACCTGATTCTTTTCACTGTTGTGATTCAAGGTCACTGTATAAAAAAATTTTGCATTGCTGGCATACAAAAAGTTGAAGGTGGTTGCTGTCACCTTGAATAATTTTGTGCATTTCTCTTTCTTTTTTTAAAAAAAGTGGAGTAGCAGTGATTTTATTTCGTACTAGTCTACTAAAGTTTAATACTACACTTTGAAATTCTTGAGAAAACCTATTTTCTAAAATGATTTTGTCTTGTTACTGAAAAGAAAAAATAAAAATCTTCACATTACATGGTAGGTGCAGATGGATAGACCTAGGAAAGGAGCACTCGACCTTGGCAGCAGAACCTGAGTGCTTCCAAGGAGACGTCAAAAAGACAGATGGTTAGTTCAGCTTCATGTCTAAGAAACATGTGCTGCCTTGAGTTAAGCATGGGGCCTTTCATGAGAGGCCACTTTTGTTGCTGGGCACTTCAAATTCTTCTCAAACCTCTCTTAACAATTTAAACAGCCATTTTTACTTTATTTTCCATACCTCACTTATGATTGCATTTTTCCTAACAGAAAATAAACTCAGTTTCATGCTCCACCCAAAATCTTTGTGTGCACTGGTCTTTCTTCAGAGCTCAGCTTACATACATCATCATTCAGTGTCAACTCTACTGCCATGCTTTACTAGGAATACATATTTTCACCACAGGTGAAAGGCAGCACATTCTGAGCCATTTTTACTTCCAGAGTCACTATGCTGACTCAGGTGCTAATCACTTCATTTCTGCATGAAACCTTTCCACTTGCCCTTCCTGTCTCCAATCTAAGTTAGCCCTGACTACCAGGCAAATAGCAACAAAAATTATCCTCTTTAAACATTAGTTTATCTGTTCAAAACTGTGTACCCAATTCAGAGAAGTTAAACAAACAATTGTATGTTCTAAGCAGTACGTTAAACATATAAACAGATTATAATACAGCTCTTAAGTGTATTAACTAAGAGCACTTGTAGGAAGTAGTAATGGGAGCACTGTGGTAAGGACCTAACACAACCTAGAGAAAAGGGTAGGTGTCAGTGAGGGATTTCTGGACTTGGCAAACACTTGAGTTTTAACAGGAGTAGAAGTTTGAGCTAAAACCATCAAGACTGGATCATGTTTGCTTTTCTAGCTGCCTCCCCCTAACCTCTTTTAGGCACACTCTATACTCAGATAACAAAAGCTGTTTGCAGTTCTCTGTACATATCATGCTGTTTCATACCTCCAATTCATTATGCAGGGGCTCCTCCCTTGACTTTTGACATTCTTCCCTGCCCACCCTCGTTTATTCTTTTTCAAGCCTACTTTTCCTTTATTTTAGTCTGTTTTCTGTTCTATAACTGAATACTTGAGACTGGGAAATTTATAAAGAAAGAGGTTTACTTAGCTCATGGTTCTGGAGGCTGGGAAGTTCAAGATTGGATGACCACACCTGGTCAGCTTCTAGTGAGGGCCTTGTGCTGCACCAAAACACGGTGGAAGGCATCACAGGGCAAAGGGGCACATAAGAGAGAGCCAAACTGGCTTTTATAACAAATTCACTCTCATGCTAACCCATCAATCCATTAATCTATGAATAGATTAACCCATTCATGAGGGCAGAGTACTCATGACCCAATCACCTCTTAAAGGCTCTACCTCTTAATACTGTTATATTAGGTATCAAGTTTCAACATGAGTTTTAGAGAGACAAACATTCAAACTAGAGAATCTTTAAAGGTTCCACTGAGATGTAACTTCCAAGATTATATACGTATCTCAAGTTAGGGTACAAATGATTGCTCTATGTTCTCCAATAACTCGCTGTGATAACTTCCTTTATGGTGTGTATTACAATGCATTGTCCCCTTCCTTAGTATAAACTGAAGATGTGATCCATATGATGATGTTCTATTTCAAACCAGAACACTGCTTATGTTCTATAAATGTTGCTTACAAGCAACAGTCAACCCTACTGAAGCATCAAAAGAATAAAGTATTTAAGAATAAACTTGAATCAACTGAATGATTTGTCCTAGCAGATCAAAGTTAATTGTGGTGAGTCAAATTTCTCAATTGTGATCAAACCCTGTGGGTCAAATTCAAATTTTGTTTTATTTACTAGTTTTATTTTTAAGAAAATTGTCATTTCACCTCTCCCAATGCAGAAGCATTTATTTTAAGATACACTACCACCTATTATTGTCAAGCTCCTAAGTTATTAAAGCAGTGTAATTTGTTATCTGTGTCTCCTGGACGTTCCTCATGTCACCAACTCTTACGGTATGATGTCAATGCAAAGATGGCTATTCGTCAAAATGCATTTACCACAACTGCCAATCTTTACGGGTCTTGCTTCAAAGGTATCTTTTTTGCAAATTCTAACATTTCCCTAAAAACCTGGCTTTATTTTTTATTCTTATAGTCTATGAAAGTCACAGAGAAAACAACCACTGCTATTATGAAATTTCAGCCAATACTATGGTTGATATCTACAATTTCTCTCACAAAGTATGCAAGCATTACTTTGAACTGCATCTGATACAGGTTGGTAGCCCAGGTCATTATTTGCAAATAAATGAGTCCTGTTTTAGCCACAAAATCCAGTATAAGCATGGCTATGCTCCAGAGAGAGAAACGTGAGTTGTTGGTTTTCTTGATACTATCCATCAATCAGCTATTCGTTACTTGGAAATTGTTGGTGACCATTATGCCCACAATTTCCAGCCTATTTTGCCAGGTGTTGGTCACCCTGGTTCTTCCATTCACTCTGATTCACAGGCTGCATGTAACATTCAGCCTTTCCTCAGTTTCCAACATGCTCAGGTTAACCATAGTTATGCCAACTTCCATTTCATGTCATCTCTTGGCATTCTTACCCAAAAGCATCTTATCCATGGGGTTCTATTTGAACAAATGTAAAGCAAAGTGCAAGACTGTGAGAGAAGTTTGTGGTGATATGTTAAACACATATTTGGTTGAATTTATGTGGCATAATTTGGAAATAATGCTTTCAATTCCCTTCTACTTCATAAATCAGAACAATTTCTTGTTAACTAATATGATGTTTCCTTTTATTATATATATCAGAAAAATTTCTTATTAACTAACATATTTTCACTTTTGTTTTTGTATGTTTTGGTACAAATATCCATAGACAAATTATTTAATTGAATACATCTGAGAATGAAATTGTTCAAATTATCCATAAATTTAGTCAATGGTGCAAAATACTTGTACACTGAAAACTACAAAATATTTTTGAAAGAAATTAAAGATGAAAATAAATAGACACCTCATATTCATTAATTAGAAGACTTAATATTGCTAAGACGTCAATACTACCCAAAGTGATCTACAGATTTAATGCAAATTCTATCAAAATCTCGACTAACATTTTTGGGTAGAAATAGAAAAATCCATACTAAAATCTATATGGAATCTCAAAGCATCCAGAATAATCAATACAATCTTGAAAAAGAAGAACAAAGCTAGAGAACGCATACTTTCTGATTTCAAAACTCATTGTGAAGCTACATTAATTAAAATAGTATGATACTGGCATAGGAAATGACATACAGACCAATGGAATAGAATCGAGAGCCCAGAAATAAACTCTCACATAGATGGTCAAATGATTTTTTATTTTTATTTTTGAGACAGAGTCTCACTGTCTTCCAAGCTGGAGTGCAGTGGCCCAATCTCAGCTCACTGCAACATCCGACTCCTAAGTTCAGGTGATTCTCCTGCCTCAGCCTCCCAAGTAGCTGGAATTACAGGTTCCTGCTACCACATAAAGCTTATTTTTCTATTTTCAGTAGAGATGGGGTTTCACCGTGTTGGCAAGGCTGGCCTCAAACTCCTGACCTCAAAGGAGCCTGCCTGCCTCGGCCTCCCTAAGTGCTTGGATTACAGGCCCCCATACCCAGCCATCACATGATTTTTAACAAAGGTGTCAGGACCATTTAATGGAGAAGGAATAATCTTTTCAATAAATGGTACTGGAAACATTGGATATCCACGTATAAAAGAATGGAATCAGACCCTGACCACCTAATACATGCAAAAATGAACTCAAATTGGATGAAAGACATAAATGTAAGAGTTAAAACTATAAAATTCTTAAAAGAAAACAGAGGAAAACTTCGTGATACTGGATTTGGCAATGGTTTCTTGAATAAGACACCAAAAGCACAGGCAACAAAAGAAAAAAATTGATAAGCTGGAATACATCAAAATTAAAAATGTGCATCAAAGGACACAATTTTTAAAAAGTAGTTAACCCTACTGAACAAACATTTTTGTCTCTGTTCATACCAACAGTTCTCAAACTTTTTGGTCTTAAGACCCCTTTACTCTCCTAAAAATTAAGGAGGACTGCAAAGAGCTTTTGTTTATATGGATTGTATCTATTGCAGCTTACTATATTAGAAATTAAAATATTTAATTTAAATATTTTTATTGCATAATTTGTTCATGGATATTTGTGCTAAAACATACTAAAAACAAAACTGAAAATATAATGTTAGTTAATAGAAAATTGTTCTGATAAATGTTAATATTTAATTTAAATATTTTTAAAATAAATATTTAAAATAAAGATTAGTTAAAATTTAAAATATTTATTACTTCATTTAAAATTATAACAAATTCATTACGTGTTAAATAAGTAACAAATTTTATTAAATTTAACATCATTTTCCAATACACAAGTAATTTTAGTGAAAAAAGTGGCCCTGTTTTACATTTTTGAAATTTCTTTAATATCTAGCTAAATAGAAGACAGTTGCTTTCTCATATCTGCTTCTACATTTGATTTGTTAGAATACATTATTTTGGTTGAGGTATGTAAAGAAAATCCAGCCTCACACAGTTACACAGTTGGAAAGAAGACAATAATAAATTGAATGTACATTTTAAAATAACTTAGAGTGTAAGTGGAATGTTTGCAATTCAAAGAATAAGTGCTTGAGGGTATGGATACCCCAGTCTTCATGATGTGCTTATTTCACATTACATACCTATATCAAAACATCTCACATACCCCATAAATATATACACCTACTGTGTACCCCAAAAAATTGAAAAAAAAAGGAAAGGAGAATTTAAAAATCTTTTGAGATAAATGTGGATGTTGTTCTTTGATACTACACTCAAATTCAACAAGTAGTACTATTTTAAATGTTATTGCAATTTGGAATCTGAAATCACGTCAGTGAACTTTTTATGCTGTTATATTAAGTTAATTGCTCTATTTTATATTTGGAGTATATCTTTTATTCATGAATTGTAATATCATGAATTTTTCATTTAGAAAATATTGGTTCACCAAGTTATCTCTGAGATCTTTCATATGTTGACATATTTCATTATTCAATATTTAAAAACATTCATTAATATAACATTCTCTCATTAAAAAGTCTTCAAGTGTTTGGGAGGTTGATACAAATTTTAAAAACTCAAATTTTCACTTGAAAGCTCATTTTATTTTTGGCAACAATACTGTCAGCAGTATTTTCTGAATTGGCAGGTTTGCCTTCTTCAAAGTTTGAAATATGTCTGCCAAATACCCATGTCTGAATAACCCTATTTTATCTGACATCCTTTTATGTACAATAAATTGTATTTTATAAAACAGTGGTTGATTCCACTTGCAACTCAATCACACAGTTATTTTCCTTTAGACAACCACCATAATTTGATACTTCAGTATGTAGCAAAAGTGTTTTATACTAGCCTCCCATTTTTTCACACAGAATATTAAAAATATGTGTACTCTGAGGTCAAGATTTTAAAAATTTAATATTTTTTACTGCTTTACTAAAAACATTCTTAAGTAAAACAGATTTTTTATATGAATATATTTTTTTCAGTGTCCTGACAAATGCAATAATTATGTTTACAGTTTGGTGCCACTGCCTTGATTTGTGCTAAGGTCCCAGTAGTTTTTACCTTTGCATCATCAGTGTAAATGTCAACATAGTGAAAAGGATAAACAAATCTTAATTTTTTTTTTTTTTGAGATGGAGTTTCACTCTTGTTGCCCAGGCTGGAGTGTAATGGCATAATCTCAGCTCACTGCAACCTCTGCCTCCCAGGTTCAACTGATTCTTCTGCCTCAGCCTCCCAAATAGCTGAGATTACAGGAATGCACCACCACACCCGGATAATTTTGTATTTTTAATACAGACGGGGTTTCTCCATGTTGGTCAGACTGGTCTCGAACTCCTGACCTCAGGTGATCCTCCTGCCTTGGCCTTCCAAGGTGCTGGGATTGCAGGCATGAGCCACCACGCCCGAGCAAATCTTAATATTTTTAAAAAGCACTTTAAACCTCAAAAATCCTCTAAAAGGGTCTTGGGAACCTGCAGAGACATGCTGACCACACTTTAAAGAATCCTGGAATTTTGGAACTTCTTAATATCAAACTGACTTCAGAACTCAAAACCACTGACCTTTCCAGTAAAAGATAAACAGAGATTAAATTGTCTATCTCCCTTGTTTTATATGAGAAGAAATGGAAAGCTGAGGGAAAGATGCAATGACTTTCCCATCACTAACTGGTATTAGAACCTAGACTGCATGACTTTTCACTAACATTTTTACTCCGTAGCTCAATGAGTATGACTCTAACATTACAGATAAAATTATTTAAGAAACGATTCCTTTCTCAAGCCACTAGGTGACAGGTTTCTAAAAATCTACCAGATCATTAAAAAGTCAGGAAACAACAGGTGCTGGAGAGGATGTAGAGAAATAGGAACGCTTTTATACTGTTGGTGGGACTGTAAACTAGTTCAACCATTGTGGAAGTCGGTGTGACAATTCCTCAGGGACCTAGAACTGGAAATACCATTTGACCCAGCCATCCCATTACTGAGTATATACCCAAAGGAGTATAAATCATGCTGCTATAAAGACACATGCACATGTATGTTTATTGTGGCACTACTCACAATAGCAAAGACTTGGAACCAAGCCAAATGTCCAACAATGATAGTCTGGATTAAGAAAATGTGGCACATATACACCATGGAATACTATGCAGCCATAAAAAAGGATGAGTTCATGTCCTTTGTAGGGACATGGATGAAGCTGGAAAACACCATTCTCAGCAAACTATTGCCAGGACAAAAAACCAAACACTGCATGTTCTCACTCATAGGTGGGAATTGAACAATGAGAACACTTGGACACAGGAAGGGGAACATCACACCCTAGGGCCTGTTGTGGGGTGGGGGAAGGGGGGATAGCATTAGGAGATATACCTAATGTAAATGACTAGTTAATGGGTGTAGCACAGCAACATGGCACATGCATACATGTGTAACAAACCTGAACGTTGTGCATATGTAGCCTAAAATTTAAAGTATAATAAAAAAAATCTACCGGATCACTTTTATATTTCCACTTACTAGTAAGGCCAGATATGACTCAGAAGTACAATCCTTAAATCATTCTCTATCATCTATGTAGGAAGGGACATAAGGATAAATGCCACAAAAATACTTAAATGGATGATAATTGCCAAGGAGAGTGATGAGCAGACATCTCAAAAATGGTCAGGGAAGGCATTTTTGAAAAGATGGCATTTTATTTGAACCTAAATGACAAACAGAGTCAGGCACAGATCGTGACAAGAATGTCTGATGAAGAAGAAAGAAAAAGTCTAAAGGACTTGAGGCAAAGTCAAGTGTAATTGAAAAACCAGAGTGAGCAATTTTGTTGGACAGAGTTAATAATGAGGGGGGTGGAGCAAAAGAGTGTGGGATTAAAGAGTAGTAATTAGAGCCCATCTCTTGAACCATGGGAGTTTAAATTCTAAGTACAGAAAGCTATTGTATTTTAATTAATTTAAGCAAGAAAATGAAATATATAGGTTCTAACAGGCAAAGAGACATATCTAATTATGATGTATATTATTCCAGAAGAGTAAAAACTTTAATCTAGAAAGCATGTGGGCTAAGGATTGGAATGTCTTAGGAAATATGATCACCCTCTTTAATGTCTATAGTGAGATGTATAATGGCCCCCTACTGACACTGGTGCCTCAAGCTCTGGAACCTGTGAATATGTTATGTTAAATGGCAAAAGAGACTTTCACAGAAGTAATTAAGTTTAAGGACTTTTAAATAAATTATTCTGGACTATCTGGGAGGCTCCAATGTAATTGCATAAGTCATTGAAAACTGAGTTCTTAGCTGGTGGCAGAAGAGACAAGACAGAAGAGGAGCCAGAGAGATTTAAAGTGTGAGATGACTCCACACATGATTGCTGATTTGGAGATGGAAGGGCCAATGTAATGAGGGATGTAGAAGGCCTTAAAGAGCTGTGAGGGAATCTCTCAGCTGACAGCCAGAAAAAAAAAAAAAAAAAAAAAAAAAAAAGGCTTCAGCCCTACCACCAAGAGAAATTGACCTCTGCTAACAGCCTGAATAACCTTGAAAATTGATTCTCCCCATCAGTCTTGAAAGACTCAACCAGAAAACTCAATTAAAGTCATTAATGCTTCTTACTTACAGAATGGTAAGATAATGAATGTTTGTTGTTTTAAGCTACTATGTTTCTGGCAATTTATATGGGGTAATAGAAAACTAATGAATATGGTTTGATAAGTAGAGGGGAGTGTAAAAATAATTACCTTGGTGCTTTCATAATAAAAGTAAAGAGAGCAAAATATGCAATTTTATTTAATGCATCTACCTGAATCACAGATCATTAAAAAATGAAAGAGATAAAACCTCTATTTCTATAAGACCAAGAAACATCTATAAGTTCAAATCACAAACTAAAAGAATATATAATAGTAAAATTTGCACCAAATCTAGAGATAATCATGAAGGCTGCTAAAAATCTTAAATAAGGTACAGTTTTCTCTAAAAGTATGTTAGGCTATAGTGGAAGGCCCTATTAGCAATTTTTTCTAAAGAATCTCAGAATGTTAAGATAAAAATCGGCTAAGAGATCATCAGAGAACAAGTCTATGTGGATTCTGTTTTATTCCACAGGGTGACAATCTAAGCCCATGCCAAGTTTAAAGGATTCATCATTGCACCTGTGCTCAAGTCCTACAATAGCAACATTAACACCATGATAATGAGAAAAATAAAGCAAACAAAATAAAATTGAAAATTTCACATCAAAAGTAGAACTCAAAAGAAAGCTTGAGAAAAATCATTTACAAGGTTTGAAATAGAACAAATGGACACAAGAGATTTTAAAATAGATGAAGAAACAATCAAAAGAAATACTAAGTTACCTAACAGAACTTATGAATGAAATAGATAGTGACAGTAAATCCACAGAGAAATGAAAGGCATGTAGATTTAATATAGAATTATATTAAATAATCTTTATTGGAATATAGATTCAAAGCTGCTAAAAATAGAGTAAGTCATAAGACTACAGAAAATTACACAAAGTTAAATAGTAAAGAACAATGATATAACAGAAAGTACAGAGAATATGATAAATATAGACAACAGAAAAAGACACATAATTGGTATTTCTAAAGAAGAAATCTCAGAAGAAGGGTTGGAGCAAGATAGCAGAATAGGACTCTCCAACAATCATGCCCTTTCAGAAATATCAACTTGAACAACTATATACGTACAAGAATACTTTTACAAGAGCAAAAGAAACCAGGTGAGAAATCACAGTACCCAGTCATAGCACAATAAGAAAAAAATATGTATTAAAGAGTGTAGGAAGGACCATTTTTCATACCCATGTCACTGCACCTCCAAACACAGACAGCACAGTGAGGAGGAAGATACCATCGATTTGAGGGAAAGAGTGAGCATAAGATTTGGACCCCAAAACTAGGCCTACCATGGTAAAACCCAGCACCAGGCAGGCCCCCAGAACTCCAGACTTCAGGCCAGTACCCATGGACTGAAACTCCTGACTTGCCCTGGTGCCAAGTGGAACCCAGCAGCTCCAGGCCTTAGGCTTCAGATGCAGTCTTCAGTTTGCACTCAGTAGCCTCAGACTTACAGCTTGCCTCAATGCTGTGTCAACCACAGACAGCCCAGTCTTCTCGTATGCCCCAGTACCATACAAGCTCCAGTGGCCCTGGGCTTTGGAACCACATCACAAGGCTTGCCTGTTGACTGTTGAGGGGCTTTCTCAGACAAAGTCAGTCTTCAAATACTGTAATAAGTATCTACTTCTTCAAATATGCAAACTTTGATGCATAGCCACAAAAATGAAGAACAATCAGAGAAATATAGCATCGCTAAAAAGACAAAATTGCCACTATGACTGACTCTAAAGAAATGAAGCTATATAAACTGCCTGACAAATAATTCAAAAAACCGGTTTAAGGAAACTCAATGAACTTCAAGAATATAGAAAAACAATTTAACGAAATGAGGAAACAATAAACCAGAATGAGAAATGTAAAAGCAGATTGAAATAATTAAAACAGACAATCAAATGGACATTTTGGAGATGGAACTATACAATAAAAGAAAGAACTGATAAATGAGATGGAAAGCATCAATATCAGCTTTGATTAAGTAGATGAATCTGTGAACTCAAAATAAGGTTATTTGAAAATATACACTCTGAGAGAAAAAAGAAAAAAGAATTAAAAGCTTATAGGATTTATGGAACAGCATTCAAGGAGTAAATTTTTGAGCCATAGGAGTTAAAGGAGAAGAGAAAGATGAAATAATAGAAAGATTTTTAGAGAAATAATAGCAAAAAATTTCTAAAGTTTATTGAAAGATTTCAATATTCAGGTATAGAAAGGTCAAAGGGCTTTATTCAGATTCAATCCAAACAAGACTACCTCCCCATGTTATAATCAAAGGGTCAAAAATCAAAACAAAGAGAGGATCCTGAAAATAGCAAGAGAAAAGAAGCAAATAACTTACAAAGAAGTTCCAATGTGGCTATCAGCAAATTTCTCAACAGAAACCTTATAGGCTAGGGGAGAGTATGATGATATATTTGAAGTGATAGAGAAAACTGCTAGCCAAGAATACTGTACCACCTAAAACTGTCCTTCAGAAAATAAGGAGAGATAAATACTTCTCCAGACAAACAAAGGCTGAGAGAGTTCATCCCTATCAGATCCGTCTTACAAGAAATGCTAAAGGGAGTTCTTTAAACTGAAAGAAAAGTATGCTAATGAGTAATGCAAAAATATCTGGAAGTATAAAATTCACTGTTAAAAGTATGTACACAGTTAAATTTAGAATAATACTATACTAGTGGTAAGTAAATCACTTATATCTTTAGTATGAAGGTTAAAAGATAAAACTATTAAAATAATAAGAGCAACAATAATTTGGTAAGCGGTATGCAGTATAAAAAGTTGTAAATTATGACATTAGAAATTCAAAAGGTAAGGGGAGTAGAGTAAAAGTGTTATTTTTAATTACCAAATTATTAAAAGCTTAAAATAATTTGCTATAAGATTATTTTATAAGCCTCATGATAACCACAAAGCAAAATCCTAGAGTAGACGCACAAAAAATAAAGGGGAAGGAATCAAAACATATAACTGGAGAAAGTCACATAACCACAAAGGAAGACAAAAAGAGAGAAAGAAAGGAAAAAAGGATCTACAAAACAATTAGAAAGCAATTCACAAAATAGCAGTAATAAGTCCTTATATATCAATCATTAACTCGAACTTAAATAGATCAAAATCTTCAAACAAAAAACAAAATGACTATATGGATTAAAAAAAAAAAAAGCAAGACCAATAATATGCTGCCTAGGAGGGACTCACTTCACCTTTAAAAATACATGTAAACTGACAGTAAAGTGATATAAAAAGATATACCATGCAAACAGAAATCAAAATTTAACAGTAGTAGCTATACTTATATCAGACAAAATAGACTTTAAGTTAAAAACTGTAAGAAGACACAAGAAAGTCTTTATAAAATGATAAAGGGATCAAATCAGCAAGAGGATATAACAAGTGTAAATATATATGCACCCAGAATCAAAGCAGTTAATTATATAGAGCAAATATTAATAGATTTGAAAAGAAAGATAGACTGCAACAGCCGGACGCGGTGGCTCATGCCTGTAATCCCAGCACTTTGGGAGACTGAGGCGGGTGGATTACAAGGTCAGGAGATCGAGATCATCCTGGCTAACATGGTGAAACCCGGTCTCTACCAAAAATACCAAAAATTAGCCAGGCATGGTGGCAGGCACCTGTAATCCCAGCTACTCAGGAGGCTGAGACAGAGAATTGCTTAAACCCGGGAGGCAGAGGCTGCAGTGAGCCGAGGTTGCGCCACTG
The DNA here is from genome assembly GCF_000001405.40 of Homo sapiens. NCBI lineage: Eukaryota > Metazoa > Chordata > Mammalia > Primates > Hominidae > Homo > Homo sapiens. The sequence goes on along the minus strand of NC_000006.12, from coordinate 61,076,925 downwards.
CACTCCAGCCTGGGCGACAGAGTGAAACTCTATCTCAAAAAAAAAAAAAAAAAAAAAAAAAAAAGAAAGAAAGAAAGATAGACTGCAACACAACCATAATAGGGACTTTAAAAATCCAATTTTCAGCAATGGACAGATGATCTTGATGGATAACCAGTAAGGAAACCTGAAACTTAGACTACACTCCCAACCATATGATCATATGGACCTAACAGACCTAAACAGAACACCACATCCAATAGTTGCAGAATATACATTCTTCTCAACTGTGCATCTAACATTTTCAAGGAAAGATTATATGTTAGGCCACAAAACAAGTCTTAGCAAGTTTAAGAACTATATCAAGTATCTTTTCTGACCACAGTGGTATAAAATGAGAAACAATAACAGAAAAAAAAAACTTCATAAAATTCACGAGTGCAAGGAAATTAGGCAACATGCTGTTAAAGAAATGGGACATTTAAGAAATTAAAAGGAAATTTTTTAATTTTTTTTTTCAGAAAAACAAATGTAGAAACACAACATACCAAAACTTATGGGATACAGCAAAAGCAATTCTAGTTTATGTCTGTAAAGAGAATAGTGACAGAGAAAGTGATAGAGAAAACTGATAAAGTTTATGTCTATAAACTAGAACTATTGCTATAAACTATAAACAACTTGCTATATATAAACTATAAAGTACTAGTTTATAGCAATAAACCCCTACAGTAAAAGGAAAGTTCTCCAATAAACAACCTAACTTTGCACCTCAAGGCAGTAGAAAAACAAGAGCAAACTAAGCTCAAAGTTAGTAAAAGGAAGAAAAATAATAAAACAATAAAGAAAATAATAAAGGATGAAAAGAAAATAATAAAGATTAGAAAAATACAAAAAAATCAACAGAAGTAAGAGTTGGTTTTTTGAGAAGATAAAAAGAATTGACAAATTTTAGCTAGAATAAGAAAAATGAGAGAAGAGTCGAATAAATACAATCAGAAAGGAAATGTTACAACTGACAGAATGGAAATACAAATGATCATAAGAAACTATTATGAACATTTAATATGCCAATACATTGGATAACTTAGGAAATGGATAATTCTTGGGCATATACAATCTACAAAGATTGAACAAAGAAGGTATAAAAACCTGAAAGACCAATTACAAGTAATAAGAGTGAAACAGTAATAAAGTCTCCCAAAAGGGAAAGCCCAAGACTAAATAGCTTTATGGTTGAAATCTACCAAACTTTTAAAGAGGAAGCAATATCAATTCTTCTCAAACTCTTCCAAAAAAAAAAAAAAACCGGAGAAATACTTCCAATTTCATTTTACAATGGTAGCATTTCCCTCGTGCCAAAGACAGAAAGGACATTACAAGAAAAGAAAATTATAGGCCAAGGCTGGGTGCAGTGGTTCTCACCTGTAATCCCAGCACTTTGGGAGGCAAGCAGATCGCTTGAACCCAGGAGACCAGGCTGGGCAACATGGCAAAACCTCATCTCTGCAAAACACACAAAAATTATCTGGGTGTGGTGGTGGTATGCACCTGCAGTCCCAGCTACTTGGGAAGCTGGGGAGGGAGAGATCGCTTGGGCCCAGGAGGTCAAGGCACTACTGAGCCATGATCACTCCACTGCACTCCAGCCTTTGTGACCAAGAAAGACTCTGTCTCTAAAAGATAAAAGAAAATTATAGGCCAAATCCCTGAAGAACAAAGATGCAAAAATCCACAATAAAATGCTAGCAAACCAAATTCAACAGCATATTAAAAAGATCATTCTTCATGATCAAGTGGAATTTATCCCAGGGATACAAGACTGGTTTAATATATGCAAATCAATAAATGTGATTGTATTAGTCCATTTTCACACTGCTGATAAAGACATACCTGTGACTGGATAACTTATAAAGAAAAAGAGGTTTAGTGGACTCACAGTTCCACGTGGCAGTGGCGGCCTCATGATTACGGCAAAAAGCAAAAGTCATGTCTTACATGGTGCTGGGTGAGAGAAAATGAGAGCCAAGTGAAAGGGGAAACCCCTTATAAGATCATCAGATCTCATGAGACTTATTCACTACCATGAGAACAGTATGAGGAAAACCACTCCCATTATTCAATTATCTCCCACCAGATCCCTCCCACAACATGTGGGAATTATGGGAGCTACAATTTTAGATGACATTTGGGTTGAGACACAGCCAAACAATATCAGTGATACATCACATGAACAGAATAAGAACAAAAACCATATAATCATTTCAATAGATGCAAAAAAAAAAGCATCTGACCAAATTAAACATTTTAAATAATAAAAACTCTTAAGAAATTAGGTATAGAAGGAATTTACCAGGAACATTAAAGGCTATACATAACAAACCTACAGTTAACATCATACCCAACAAGGAAAAGTTGAAAGCTTTTGCTCAAAGATCAGGAATAATACAAGGCTGCCCACTCTGAATACTTCTATTCAACATAGTATTAGAAGTCCAAGACAGATCAATTAGGCAAGAGAAGAAAAGAAAGAAAAGGCATCCAAATTGGAAACAAAGAGGTTTAATTGTCCCTGTTTACATGACATGATCTTATATGATTTAAAAAAAACCAAAAACCAGAACACTCCACCAAAGGGGGGAAAAAAACTGTTAGAACTAATAAATGAAGTCAGTGAAGCTGCAGGATATAAAATCAACATTCAAAAATCAGTAGCATTTCTATACACTAACATTGAACAATCTGAAAAAGAAATTTTGAAAAATCCCATTGAAAATAACGACAAAACATAATATGCTTAGGAATAAATTTAACCAAGGAGGTGCAAGATCACTACATGAAAAGTTTAAAACACTGAGGAATGAAACTAAAGAAAAAAACCAATAAATGGAAAGATATCCCATGTGTATGTATTAGAAGAATTAATATTCTTAAAATGTTCATACTACCCAAAGCAATCTACAAATACAATGCAATCCCTACTAAAATATCAATGTTATTCTTCATAGGAATATAAAAAAATACGAAAATTTATATGAAACCACAATAGACCCCTAAATAGCCAAAACAATCTTGGGCAAAAAGAGCAAAATCAGAGGCATCACACTACCTTATTTTGAAATACATTTGACCCTTGAACAACACAGGGGTTAAGTGCACAACTGCCCATACAGTCAAAAATCCATGTATAAAATTTGACCCCCCAAAGCTTAACTACTAATAACCTACTGTTGACTGGAAGCCTCATCAACAATAAAAACTGTCAACTAATACTTATTATCTATATTATATGTATAATATATTGTATTCTTACAGTAAAGCAAACTAGAGAAAATGTTAAGAAAATCATAAGAAAGAGAAAACATATTTGCTATTCATTAAGTGGAAGGGGTCATCATAAAGTTCTTCATCTTTATTGTCTTTATGTTGAGTAGGCTGAGGAGGAGGAGGAAGATGAAGAGGGTTGGTCTTTCTGTCTCATGGGTGGCAAAGGTGGAAGAAAATCTGGGTATAAGTGGACCTGTGCAGTTTAAATTTGTTGTACGATGGTCATCTGTGTAATACAAAGCTAAAGTAACCAAAAGAGCATGGTACTGGAATATAAACAAAAACATAGACAAATGAAAAGGAATAGAGAGCCCAGAAGTTAATCCACACATTTACAGCCAGCTGATTTTTGACAAAGATGCCAAGAACATGTTATGGGGAAAGGACAGTCTTTTCATGAAAAGGTGTTGAGAAAACCAGATGCAAAGGAATAAAAATAGACCTTTAATTCATACCACATAAAAAATCAACTCAAAATCAATTAGAGACTTAAATATAAGAACTGAAACTATGAGACTGTTAGAAGAAAGCAGGGGAAAAATTTCCATGGCGTAGGTCCAGACCAAGATTTTTAGGATATGATATCAAAAACATAGCCACAAGAAGCAAAAATGTACAAGTAGAACATCAAACTAAAAAATTTCTGCACACAAAAGTAACAATCAACAGAGTGAAGAGACAACCTACATAATGGGAGAAAATATATCCAAACTATGTGTTTCAGCCTATTTTCATTGCTATAAAGAAATAGCTGAACCTGGCTAACTTATATATTTTTAAGTTTATTTGGCTCATGTTTCTGCAGGTTGTGCAAGAAGCGTGGTGTCAACATTTGCTTCTAGTGAGGCACTCAGGCTACTTCCACTCATGGTGGAAGGTAAAGGGGGTACCAGTGTGTGCTGACATCCCATGTGAGAGAAAACAAGCAAGAGAGAGAGGAGGGAAGTGTCAGACTCTTTTAAACAACCAGCTCTCACAGGAACTAATCAAGTGAGAATTCACTCATTGCCATGAAGATAACACCAAGACATTCATGAGATATCCACTCCCATGAACAAAACACTTCCCATTGGCCTCACCTCCAATATTGGGGATCAAATTTTAACATGAGATTTAGAGAGGACAAATATCTAAACCATTTCATTCTATACCTGGCCCCTGAAATCTCATGTCCTCACATACAAAATACTATCATTCCATTCATTCCATCCCAATAGTCCCCCAAAGTTTTAACGTGTTCCAGCATCAACTCAAAAGTCTAACATAAAAGTCTCATTTGAGACTCAAGGCAAGTTCTTTACAGTTACAAGCCTGTAAAGTCAAAGTCAAGTTATTTACTTCCAAAATACAATGATGGAACAGACATTAGGTAAACACTCCAATTTCAAAAGGGAGAAATGGGCTAAAAGATAGGGGTAACAGACCTCATGCAAGTCTGAAAGCCAGCAGGGCAGACATTCAATGTTAAAGCTCCAAGATAGTCTTTGACTCCATGTTCCACACCCTGAGCACACTGGTGCAAGGAGTTGGCTCCCAAGGCTTCAGGCAGCCCTGCTCGCCAACATGGCTTTGCTAGGAGCAGCCCATTTGGCTGCTTGCATATATTGTAGTTGAATGCCTGTGACTTTTCCAGACTGAGCAGGTACACGGCTGGTGGCTCTATAATTCTTGGGTCTCAAAAGTAAGGCCCCTGTTGCTATGGCTCCAATATGCACTGCCCTAGTGAATACCCTCTGCAGTGGCTCCACCCCTGTGGCAGGCCTGCACACCCAGGCTTTCCAGTACATCCTCTGAAATCTTGGTAGAAGCTTCCAAGCCTCCATTATTCTTGCATTCTGTGCATCTGCAGACTTAACACCACATGGATGCCACAAATGCTCATGGCTTGCACCCTCCAGAGTGATGACCCATGCAGTACCTGTGTCTCTTTGAGCCATGGCTGGAGGTGGAAGTGAAGCGGCCAGAAGATAGGAAGCAGCAGGTAGTGCAGGGCAGCAGTGCCCCAGGCCTTGAAGGTTTCTGAAATGCATTCAGGACCCATTTCCCCTTGTCTTGACTATTAACATCTAGTTCCCTTTTATCTATGTCAATCTCTCTAGTAAATGTTTGCTCCTTAGCACACTTGACTTTCTCTCCTGTAAACACTCTTTCCTTTTCTACCACATGGCCAGGCTACAAAATTTCCAAACTTTTATACTCTGTTTCTTTTTTAATTATAAATTTCAACTTTAGGTCATTCCTTTGTTCCTATATCTGATAGTAAGCTGTTAAAAGTAGCCACATTACTTCTTCCATACTTTGCTTCTTAGAACTTTCTTCTTCCAGGTGCCCTAAGTCATCACTCTTAATCCTTCCACAAAACCCTAGGTCATGCATATAATGCAGCTAAGTTATTTGCTAAGGTGTAACAAGGGTCCCTTTTCTCCAATTACCAATATGTTTCTCATTTCCACCAGAGACATCACCAGCATGGCCTTTACTGTCTATATTTCTATCAGCATTTTGATCACAACCACTTAAGCAATCTCTATAAAGTTTCACATTTCCTCATCTTATTGCCTTCTGAGATCTCCAAACTCTCCCAACCTCCGCCCACTACCCAGTTACAAAGCCATTTTTCCACATTTCAAGTATCTTTATGGCAACACCCTGCTCCTTGGTACCAATTTTTCTGTCTTAGTCTATTTGTGTTGCTGTAAAGGAACCAATGAGTCTGCCAAATTTATGAAGAAACTAGGTTTATTTGGTTCACAGTTATACAAGCTGTGCAAGAAGCATGGTGCCAGCATCTGTTTCTGGTCAGGGATTCAGGCTGCTTCCACTCATGTTGGAAGTTGAAGGGAAGTCAGCATGTGCAGAGATCACATGTGAGAGAGGATGCAAGAGAGAGAAGGGGAAGTGCTAGGTTCTTTTAAGCAACCAGCTCTCACAAGAACCAAATGAGCAATAACTTGCTCATTACCACAAGGACAGAACCAAGATATTTATAAGAGATCTGTCCCACGATTGAAACACCTCCCATTAGACCCCACCTCTAACATTGGGAATCAAATTTCAACATGAGATTTGGAGAAGACAAACATCCAACCATAGCACTATACATCTGACAAGAAGTTAATATCCAAAATATTTAAGGAACTGAAACAGCTCAATAGCAAATAAACAAATGCTGCAATTAAAAAATTGGCAAAGAAGCTAAATGGATATTTCTCAAAAAAAAGATATATGAATGGCCAAATGGAATATGGAAAAATGATCAACATCCCTCATCATCAGAGAAATGCAAATTAAAACCTCTATTAGACATTGCCTTATACTTGTTAGAATGGTGATTATCAGAAAGAAAAAAGATAACAAGCAATAGTGAGGATGCGGAGTAAAGGGAACCCCTTCACATTGCTAGTGGAAATGTATATTAGTATAGCTATTATAGAAAACAATTAAAGATAGAACTACCAAACCTGAAAAAATAAAAAAATAGAACTGCCAGATGATCCAGCAATTCTACTACTGGGTGTATTTCCAAAAGAAATAAAATCAGTATGTGAAAGAGATATCTGCAGTATATTCACAATAGTTAAGATATGGAATAAACCTGCATGCCAATCAATGGATGAACGTATAAAGAAAAGTGGCACGCATACACAATGGAGTACTATTCAGCCATAAATAGGAAGGAAACCCTGCCATTTGCAACAACATGAATAAACCTGGAAGACATTATATTAAGTGAAATAAGCCAATCACAAAAATATAACTACCAAATGATCTCACTCATATGTGGAATCTTAAAAAGTTGATCTCATAGAACTAGAGAGTAGAATGATAGTATTTCCATAGTTCTGGATAGAGCAAGAGTGATCCCTATTTTCAACACCCAACTTGTCATTCATTTATAAAGGCAATAGAAACAATTACAAATAAACAAAATTTCTGGAATTATAGTACTGATGAAGTCATTTTTTAAATTTACTCAATGAAAAAATCAAATTAATTCAAGATGATCAAATAAAGAATTCAGAAACTGGAGCACTATATTGTAAAAGGGTTGAAGATGAACTCTGAATATGTTTGAACACAAGAATATGAAGGATTAATAATGGATTTACAGTAGTTGAATATAATAAAAATGTTGTAATCCTAAATTGAAAACCCAATGGACAAATAACAACAAAAATTCAGAAGTAGAAGAATATAGGCAAAAGATAAAGAAGTACAAACTTATGATTTTATTATACGTCATAGGAGGGAATCAGTTGGTAATCCTAAAGTTTAACCAAATTATTAAGAAACAAGAAGAGGCTATAAACATTCCAAATACAATAAAGGAAAATGCAAATACATGCATATCTACACAAACACACACAGACAAACATGACTGCACACACAAGGCAAAGAAAATACTGATTTGACTATATAACTTTCAATAATTTAGTAGCATAGACGTTCTAAAAGAGTTAATAAAAAGTTTATAGATGCCAAAAGGAATTGTGACAGATTTCACTCTAAATTTTATAACTAAGTTTACATGAAAATAAGGTAACACCCCAGTGGCTCAAAAAAGCTGAAGCCAGAATGGTAAACTGGCTCTACAGCCATAACTGCCCTGGATGTTTATGAATACAAGAAACCTAGACCCTGGGCACTAATGTCCATGCCTCTTGGAAGGATGGACTCTGAGACTCCTTCACAGAGCCAGGATCCTCAAAATCTGCACTTTCAGTGAAAGATCAGCTACAATTAAAATTTCCCACCATCAAAGGGGAAGTACAAGTCTGTTTCAGCTTCAGATATTAGGAAAACAGTATCCAGAGAGAATTCAGAACGACAGGTCTGCCCTCAAATTGGCTCTGGGTTCCCAAACCAGAACACTAACTTAAAGTTATGCCGGGACTTCAGCACCCGGGGAACCATAATAGATCCCAAAGAAATGCAGGAATGCACCTTCAAGTCAGGCTTTCAGTATTCTTGGAAATGAAAATTGGTCAGGAAGAACTACAAAAATGAAGTTTCCAAAATATATGAGAAAGCAAGATGATGTCAATGAAAGTCAGCAGAAATAAAATCAATAGAATCATAAATATAAATATACCAGGTATTGAAATGATAAAACAAGTATGCAGAAATAACTTTTTAAAAGATTTAAAGAAATAAATGAAGAAATAAAATATTGTTTTTAATAAATACTTTTATAATGTTTATTTGTATCAGGTACTGTTCCACATGCCTCACTTATATATTTACTCATCTAATCCTCAACAACTCTATAAAGTAAATGCTACTAATTTTATGAAAAAGGAAATGAAAACTTAGAGAAATTAAGAAAGTTCCCTAAATTTACACAGTGCAAGTTGTAGTGCTAGAATTCAAATCCTTCAGAGTCTATTGTCCTAAGAAGTATGTGGTAAGCAAGTGTCAAAAATCTGTCAATAATTAACTGACCTGTTTTAAAAATAAAAAAATAGAACTACTAGACTAGAAATATAATTAAAAGTATAATCTCGATGGTCAAACTGTAGATTAAACAAAGTTGAAAAAAGAATTTGAACTAGAAGCCAAAGCTAAAATCATTAATCAGATTGTAATGGAGAAAGACAAGGTAATGAAACTGAAAGTTTATGATATGAAAAAATATAATAAGATTTAATCATCTAGTGGTTATCTCAGGAGAGACTAAAGAAGTGAATAATCTATTAAAAGAGATAACAACTGGGATTTGTCCAGGACAGATAAGAGAAAAAAATGTCAAATTGTATGAAAACAAATAAAGATACAATGGGAATGGGAAAAGGCTAGTAATTAAGCTAGGGCAAAGATTAGAGGTAATGATGGATTCATTATAGTCTTCCCTTTTATTTTATGTATGCTTAAGTTTTCTGATACATTTTTTACAAATAAAAAATAAACATTTAGACACATTATATCATCTTTGATCAAGTCAAAAGTAGCTTCTAATAGCACACAGAGGAAAAAAAATGATAACTTAAAATGAGCAATGATTAGATTGAGGGGAAATTTCTCCATAAAAAAATTGAAAGCCAAGACATGTGGTATAATACTTTCAAATTGTTAAGACAAAATAATGGTTAGCAAAGAATTATGCAACAGACACATTTTTATTAAATAGCTATATTTTTAAATGACATTTTTAGATAAGACCAAATGTGAAATCTCGTACCAAGAGACTCTCATTGTAAGAATTTAAACAATGTGAAACAATGCACTTCAATAAATAAATAAATAAATAAATAAATGGAGAGTAAAGAAAGCATTGACTTAAATTAAATTGATTAATTTAATTTAATTGACTTAAATTAAATCAAATTGATTAAGCATTGACCGTTTAAAACAAAACTAATAATGTTTACATTAGGAGATAAAAATAGAAGTATAGAATTCTTCTGAAAATAAATGACTGGTTTATAACACATCTCTCATGGAAAACAAGATGAAAACCTGGAAGGAAAGTGAAACATAAGACAGCTGTCTGGGCAGTAACAAAGAATTGAGGGTCCCCCTTAAGGTAGACCTGACATCCCTCCATTTGACAATGCCTAAGTGACTTGGGCCTGAAAGACGAAGCAAAAGCAATGACTTAGTTAAGGAGACAAAAACTGGAGGTCCGTGATACCAAGGCATCCAGAATATGAGAGGCCATTGTCCCAGAGAAAAACAGAGAGAAACAAGGCTAACTTTCCAAATCACTTTTCCTCAGAGGCATTTTTTGACTTCTAGCATGTGCAGAACAAGCAGATGGGAGGCAAAGCAGAAAGCGGCAGCCAAGGAGCTAAGAATCAAGCAGAAGTTTTGTAGGTCTGATGATACTGGAGAGACAACATTATAGTTTAGGGCTCACCAAAGAGAAGAATATGCAGTTTGTCAAGCTTTCTATTGTAACCCCTGATGGGCTACACTTTATAAACCAAAGTTAGAAGCCTTACAAAGGTTAAAACTCAGTGTCAGGCCAAACTCTCTAATCTCTGTTTGCAGTCTATTGCTTTGCCCTAATGCTAACTGCCAAAATAAATCTTTCCTGGAGTAAAACAAGATCATGAAGAGCCTCTGCAGTTTTTCATTAAAAAAAAAAAAATACATGGCATTCAGTTCAAAATAACCAGGCATGCCAGGAGACAAGATCAAATATCTAAAGCAAAAAAATAAAAATAAAAATAAAAACAGACCATGTGTAATGCATAAATTGAAGTTATCAAACATAGGTTTTGTTGCCAAACATGGTCAATTCATGAAATATAATTTTTTAAATATATAATGAGATGAAAATATTTATCAAGAAATTAAAATTCTTAGAAAAAACTGGAATTTGTAGAACTAAAAAGTATAATTATCAAAATTAAGACCTCAGTAGGTATATTCATATACTTGATGTCTAATATATGTTGTTTAGTATAAAGGAAAAATTGAAGAATGCTTACAGAAGGATACTTCCAAATTTTAAAGAGTTATTTATCCTCTAAATGGTGTCTAGAGAGAAGTGCAGAGGAAGGGGTAGAATTTAATTATACTTTCAACTTTAAACCCTTTATTGTTTGATTTTTTCTCTTCATGAACTGGTATTACTTCTATAAAAAATAATTAAAATTTAATAAATACAGAAAATTAGGTAGTGTTTATTACAGAAGAAATGTAAAACTACACAGTCATTATGAAAAAATATACCTTGCCTCATAATACCTATTCTCAGGGATAACATTTAACACATTTTATTTATTTCTTCCAGCTTTTTGCCATGCATGTTCTTTTTAGCTGTGATCACACAACTAATATGGGAGGCAGAATCCTAAGATGTCCCCCCATATCATTGCCCTCCGGTGTACATACCCTTTATAATTCCCTTCTGTTAAGTTTGGACAGGTCCTGTGAATGTGGTAGGACAGCTGCTCCCTTGATAAGGTTATGTTATATAAACATGACTCCACCTTAGCACACTAAAGAGAATTTCTCCCGCTGGCTTTAAAGAAGTAAGCTCCACGTTATATGACAAAGCCATATAGTTAGGACATGAAAGTGGCCTTTAGGAATCCAGAGCAACTTATGGACAAAGAGACACTTTAGTCCTGCAGTTGCAGGGAACTGAATTCTGCCAACAACCAGTGAGCTTGGAAGAAAACCTCAAGCCTCAGATGGGACTGAAGCCCTAGCCAACACATTGAGATTAGTCTGTTCAAACCATGAAAAGATAAAATGTACCCAGACTCCTAACTCTAACTCCTTACCCATAGAAACTGTTATTTAAGCTGTTAAATTTGTGGTAATTTATTATGTAGCAATAGAAAACTAATATATATTCTATATATAAAAGTACCATGAATTGATCATGTAATTATAAGCACGAAAAAAATGTAGAAATTTGCAAATGTAGAAAAGTATAATAACCACTGAGACGGTAACTGAATCCAGATAATCACATTTGATATTTTGTTGAGTTCATAAGAATTATTTTTTCATCTATAAATACTTTATTATACATCCTTAAAAGGTAAATTATGTTTTTGAAAAATATATAACTACAATACCATTATTTCACCTTTAAATCTTCTGTGGCCTTCCAAAGTATACTCACTGTGATGGTTAGTTTTAAGTGTTAACTTGGCTAGGCCCTAGTTCCAGTTATTCAAACACTAATCAAGGTATTGCTGTGAAGGTAATTTGTAGATGTATTTAACATCTATAATCAGTTAGCTTTAAGTAAAGGAGATAATCTGTAACAATCTGGGTGGGCCTCTTCCAATCGGTTGAAATGCATTAAAAGCAAAACTAAGGTTTCTCTGAGGAAGAAAAAATTCTGCCTCAGGACTGCAGCCCTAGCTCTTGCTGGTGTTTCCAGCCATAAAGCTTGCCCTATAAAGTTCAGACTCTTCAATTCCCGCAATTGCATAAGTCAATTCCTTGAAATAAACAGTATGTGTATGTGTACACATGTGTAGAGTAGATTCTCATTACTTACAGGTTCTATGTTTGTGAATTTGCCTACTTACTAAAATTTATTTGTAAGCTCAAATTCAGTATTTGCAACACGTTTGTGGTCATTCTCAAACGTGTAGAATGGCAAAAAGTTTGAGTCTCATGTACCCAACTAAAATAGAACAAGGTGATGCTCTGCCTTCTTTGTCCATCTCTCACACTGCAAACAAGCATTATTTGACAATTTATTTAGTTGCCACCATTTTCTTTACATTTTTGTGCATTTCATTGGTGATTTTGCTATTTAAAATGGCCTCCAAGTACAGTGGCAGTGTTGTCTAATGTTCCTAAGCACAAGAAGCCTGTGATGTACCTTACAGAAAAAATACATGCATTAGATTAGGTTCATTTGGGCATGAGTTACAGTGCTGCTGGCTGTGAGTTCAATGTTAACGAATCAGCATAGGTATTAAATAAGGTGCCTTTGAAGAGAAACACACATAAAACAAGAATGTATATTGACTGGTTGACAAAAATGTTGTGACCAGAGGCTTTCAGGAAACTACACTGTATTTTCCCTAGGAGCAATTGTTCATTATTCACTGATTCAATGTTCATAGAAACTTTATAGAACATAACTACAGTGAATAACAAGAATCAACTGAGTGTGTGTGTGTGTGTGTGTGTGTGTGTATAATCTTACTCATTCTGTTCCTCTAAGGAACCCCAACGCACTCATCATCCACCTCCTGGAAGATTCTTGATTGAAAATTACTACCAAGACTAAAACACTGAAACAAAGAATATTCTGTACTCCCATTGAGTGAGAGTTAACAAACTACAGCCAGCATTTGTTTTTGTAAATAAAGTTTTAGTGGAACACAGACACGCACATTCATTTATATATTGTCTATGGCTGCTTGCATGTCATAATGGCAGAGCTGAGTAGTTGTAAGAGTAGCTACATGGCTTCTAAAAGTGAAATATTTACTATTTGGCCCTTTATAGAGAAAGTTTGCCAATTACTGCATTAGAATATTAAATCATACAAAAAGATGATAAATGTATATACTGAAGTTGATAACAAAAATATCTGCCATGAGATGTTTTATCAATCTTTCAATTAAAAAAGTTAATTCAATGGTTTTTTTTTTTAATTTTTGAAGCTATATAAAAATCTTACTAAAATTCTATGGCAGTGGAAGTGGTCACGGAGTTGCACTATGTAGTTCAAATTTTCTAATACTTCTAGAAATTTCCCACTGGGATTAGTTGTTTAGCCATAGCTATCAAGTACAGTAATAGAATAATCACACTATTATTTTGAATGTTCAACAATGAGGATACAAGATTTTCTCTGAACTGTGCAATGAAGAATATGTCTTCAGGAACACATTTTCTGGTACTGAGAAATAAATAGGCACAAGTATATAATAGCTAAAAGAAGTATACAAAAGATAGTTTCAACTTCCAACTTGCAGACACCAAAAACCTTGTAATACCACTTTATTCTGGATTTAGCTTCTCCAATTAAGGTTAACTACTATAACTAGAAAGCCATCAGAATCTTTGTCACTTAACATAATTAAGGTTTACTATTCTCTATTGCAAAGCTTTGTGTGGTTTAGGTAGCCCTCTTCCCTCTTTAGCTCTGCCATTTGGAACAATTGGTCTCATGATCATAACAGTGGGGGAAAAAGAGGTGGAGGGAGCATGCTGGCTGTTAAATTTCCCCTCCCAGAAGTGAAACATGTCACTGCAATCTGCAGTCCATTGATGAAAACTAACTGCAGTAAAGGAAGAAAAATGAAGCAGGGGAACTTAAGGAACAGTCACTGCAAACAAATCATCTCTACCACAGGAACCAAACCAAGTAAGGCCTTTGTAAAGTATTCCTCATCATTTTTACTCAGCCCTTGGACAACTTCAGTCTGCCAACAGCAAAATTGTGCAATATGGATCCAAGGCAATTCACTATGTTGGTCCTTTCATATCTGTGATTGATTTTCTCTTCTTTTAATTAATTCAACAAACATTTATAAGTGAATAAAACAAAAAATGATCTGTAAACACAATGCTCATATTCTTGAGGAAGAAGAGAAGAAAGAAATACAGGAAAATGATGCAGTGTGCTAAATATGACAACTACTATGGAAAAAATAAAAAGTAGAGAAGAATAAAGTCAGAGTGTTGGGGCTGCAGGTTAGACACTGTATTAATTTCCTATCACTTCTGTAATAAATTACCACAAACTTAGTGGCTTAAAACAACACAAACTTACCATCTTATACTTTGTAAGCCAGAAGTCCAAATCTTTTTCACTGGTGTAAAATCAAGTTGCAGGCAGGGCTATGTTCCTTCTGGAGGCTCAAACAGAGAATTTGCTTCCTTTTCCAGATTCTAGGGACTGCCTGCATTCTTTGGCTCATGGTGACATCACTCCTACCTCAGCCCCCATGGTCACATCTCTCAGTCTGACCCTCCCACCTCCCTCTTATAAGAATAATTGAAATTATGTTGGGCCCACCTGAATAATTCAGGATAATCTCTCCATCTCCAGACCCATAACTTAATCACATCTGCAAAGTCCCTTTTGAAATGTAAGATAACATATTCACAAGTTCTGGGGATTAGAATATGGAAATCTTTGGGGGGAAGTCATTCTTCAGCCTACCACACACATTAAATAAACTGGTCAGAATAAGCCTCATTGAGGAAGGGATAATTGTACCAAAATTTGAAGGAGAAAATAGAGTTAGTCAAGTGGCTCTTTAGGTAGAGGGGCAGCTCTGAGCAATAGGAACACATTTGTATTAGAAATGTAAAGACACCCATGTGGTTGAAGTGGAATGAATGAGTTTGAGAGGTGTAGGTCATGACATCAGAAAAATAATTAAGGGCAATTTTGAGTAGTGCCTTGTAACTTTTATAAGGACTTTGGTTTTTCTCTTTGAAATTGGGAGCCATTAGATAGTTTTGATTATAGGAGTAACATGATATTATTCTGGCTGCTGAATTAAGATTAGAGTGCAATGAGACACAGCAGATAGAAGCAGGGAGACCTGTTGGAAGATGTCAAAACAAAAACTGCACCAGATAAAGTTAAGCAGGCAAGGGAGACTTCACTCAATACTACTGAAGTAGAGCTTCTTTGGAGAAATGTTTTCTCAAGTCCTTTGCCAGTTTTTCAATTAAGTTATTTGGGTTTTTTGTTTGTTTGTTTGTTTGTTTTGCTACTAAGCTGCAGGAGTTCTTTATATATTTTGGATATTAACCTTTAATCAAATATATAGTCTGTAAGTGTTTTCTCCCATTTCATAACTTGTTTTTTTATTTTATTATTTTTTTTCTTTTCCTGAGCAAAGGCTTTTTAGTTTGACCTACTCTTGCTTGTCTATTTTTGCTTTCTTTCCCTGTGCTTTTGGTGTAATTTCTAAGACATACAATAGCCAACAGTATATGAAAAAGTGCTCAGTGTTACTAATCGTTAGAGAAATGCAAATGAAAACCACAATGAGATATCATCTCACACCTGTTAGGATGGCTATTATCAAAAATTAAAAAAAAGGACAACAAGTGTTGGCAAGGATGTAGAAAAGAAAATGTGTACAATGTTCGTGGAAATGTAAATTGGTGCACAGCTATCAGCTATGGAAAACAATATGGAGGTTCCTCAAAAAATTAAAAACAGAATTATTATTTGATCCAGCAATCCCACTTCTGCATATATATCCAAAGGAATTGCAATCAGGAGTTTGAAGACATATCTGCACTCCTGTGTTCATTGCATGATTATTAACAAAAGCCAAGATGTGGAAATAACCTAAATGTTCACTGACAAATGAGTTGATAAAATGTAGGTGAGGGGAGCAGCACGATGAGGAGATGCCACCACCACTGCCATCGACATACTCTTGTCCTATGGGCCACACCTGGGCCTTGCTGACAGGAAGCTTCAGTCCCACAGCTCCACTTGCTGCGGTCTCAGGTTTCTTTGCCTCCAGAAAGAAAAAAATTGATCCCCTGAATTCTGGAAGTTCTTTTAAGAGTCTAAAATTAGGGGCTTTTTTCAAATTTGAACATGGCTAATCGAGGAGCAAAAAGACTCAACGGGCCAAATACTGGAAATAAAATATGCCAGTTCAAACTAATACTTCTGGGAGACTCTGCTATTGGAAAATCAAGCCTAGTCTTCATTTTGTAAAAGGCCAATTTCATGAATTTAAAGAGAGTGCCATTGGTGCCTAGATGTGGCCAAGATGGCTGATTAGAAGTAGCTACAGACTGTCGCTCTCACAGAGAGGAATGAAAACAGAGAGTAAATTCAGCATCTCTAACTGCAATATCCAAGTTCTTACATCAGGACTGACTAGGTGGACAACTCGACCCGCAGACAATGAAGAAAAGTAATGTGGGGTGATAGCCCACCTGGGAGCAGCATGGAGCCAAAGGAATCCCCACTGCCAGCTAAGGGAAGTGGTCAGTGATTGTGTGACCCTGCCCATGCTTCTCCCACAGATCTTTGCAGCCTGTAGATCAGAAGATCCCCTTGTGAGTCCATGCCACCAGGGCCTTGGGTCCCATACACAGAGCTGTGCCTTCTCAGCAGAGCAGTTGCTCAGACTCACATAGAGATCCTGGAGTTTTACAGACTCTGGTGCTGGGAATCCCAGTAAGGTGAGAGATCCATCTGTACATTCTTCTAGGAAAGTAGCTGAATCCAGGAAGCCAAGCAGCATTGTTCTGCAGGCCCCACTTCCACAGCACCTCACAAGTTAAGACCCACTGGCTTGGAATTCCAGCCAACCAGCACAGCAGGCTGGAGACGTCCGAGACAAATGAGTTCCTGGGGGGAAGGGCAGCCGCCATTTCTGAAGTTAGTTTGACTCAGCCATTCTAGCCTGCTGGCTCCAGGGAGTTCAGGTGGTCTAGACAAGGAGGAGTCCCCACAACACAAACCATCCTTCCTCATTGGGTGGGGCCTCCCTGTGGGAATTTCAGCAACTGCAGCCAGGGATAGAGGAACTCTGATCTCTCCCTGGGATGGAGCCCCAGTGGGTAGGAGTGGCCAATGTCTCTGTGAGTCCTTGCTCTCAGTCAACTGCTCTGCTGACTCTGTGGCTGAGTGGAGTTAGCTGTTCTTGCATGCTGGGCTCAGGGAGTCCAGGTGGTCCTGATGAGGAGGAGTCTCCCATAACACAGCACGTCTGCTCTACCAAAAATCAGCCAGACTGCTTCTTTAAGCAGGTCCCTGACCCCATCCCTCCTGACTGGATGAGACCTCTCAATGGGGGTCTCCAGACACCTTCTACAGGTGCATCCAGGCCAGCAACGGGTTAGTATCCCACTGGAACAGAGCTTCCAGGGAAAGGAGCAGGCTACTATCTTTGCTGTTTCATAAGCTTCACAGGTGATATCTCAAGGTAAGGGAAAAACTGAAGCAACTAGGGTCTGGAGCGATCCCCTAGCAAACCACAATAGTCCTACAGAGCCTGACTGTTAAAAGAAAAATGAACAGAAAGCAACAACATCAACAAAAAAGACCCATAAAACCCCATTCCTTTGAATGAGGTTTTTTTGGGGAACCTCAAAAATGAAGGTAAATAAGCCTACAAAGATAAGAAAGAATCAATGCAAAAATGCTGAAAATTCACAAAGCCAGAGTGCCTTTTCTCCTCCAAATGACCACAACATTTCTCCAGCAAGTGCACAGAACTAGTCTGAGGCTGAGATGACTGAATTCACAAAACTAGGCTTCAGAAAGTGGGTAATAACAAACTTTGCTGAGATAAAGGAGCATGTTGTAACTCAATGCAAAGAAGCTAAGAATCATGATAAAACAATACAGGAGCTGATAACTAGAATAGCCAGTTTAGAATAAAGCATAGCTGACCTGATGGAGCTGAAAAACACAATGCAGGAAAATCACAATGCAATTACAAGCATCAGCAGCAGAATATACCAAGCAGAGGAAAGAATATCAGAGCTTGAAGACTATGTTTCTCAAATAAGACAGGCAGACTAGAGGAAAAAGAATGAAAAGGGCTAGGTGCAATGGATCATGCTTGTAGCCCCAACATTTTGGGAGGCTGAGGGGATTGATCACTTGAGGTCAGAAGTTTGAGACCAGCCTGGCCAACATGGTGAAAACCCTGTCTCTACCAAAAATACAAAAATTACCCGGGCATGGTGGTGGGTGCCTGTAATGCCAGCTACTTGGGAGGCTAAGGCAGGAGAATCACTTGAACCCAGGAGGCAGAGGTTGCAGTGAGCCAAAATTGGGCCACTACACTCCAGCCTGGGCAGCAGAGTGAGACTCCATCAAAAAAAAAAAAAAGAATAAAATGAATGAACAAAACCTCTGAGAAATATGAGACTATGTAAAAAGATCAAACTTACAACTAATTGGGGTACCTGAAAGAGACAGGGACAACAGAACCAAGTTGAAAAACATATTTCAGGACATCATCTAGGAAAACTTCCCCAGTCTAGCAAGACAGGCTAACATTCAAATTCAGAAAATCCAAGGAACTCCAGTAAGATAATGCACAAGAAGATCAACCCCAAGACACATAATCATCTGATTCTCCAAGGTTGAAATGAAAAAAAAAAAAAAGTTAAGGACAAGCAGGGAGAAAGGCCAGGTCACCTCCAAAGGGAAGCCCATCACACTAACAGTGGACCTCTCAGCAGAAACTGTACAAGCAAGAAGAGATTAGGGGCTAATATTTAACATTCTTAAAAAAAAAGAATTTCCAACCCAGAGTTTCATATCTGCACAAACTAAGCTTCATATGCGATGGAGAAATAAGATGTTTTTCAGACAAGCAAATGCTGAGGGAATTCATCACCACCAGGCCTGCCTTGGAAGAGCTCCAGAAGGAAGCACAAAATATAGTTAAAAAAAAAAATTACCAGCCACCACAAAAACACACTGAAGTACACAGTGAAACTATGAAGCAACCACATAAACAAATCTGCAAAATAACCAGCTAGAATAATGATGAATGAATCAAATTGACACATAATACTGACCTTAAATGCAAATGGGCTAAATGCCCCAATTAAAAAACACGGAATGGCAAGCTGGATAAAGAGCCAAAACCTGTCAGTATTCTGTCTTCAAAAGACCCAGCTCATGTGCCAAGACACACATAGGCTCAAAATAAAGGGATGGAAGAAAACTTACCAAGCAAATGGAAAACAGAAACAACCAGAGGTAACAATCATAGTTTCTGACAAAACAGACTTTAAACCAACAAAGATTTTTGAAAAGACAAGAAGGGCATTACATAATTGTAAAGGGTTTAATTAAACAAGAAAAACTAACTATCCTAAATACATATATTATTTCTCCTGAAACATCAGATTTTTTTCAACTTGGTTATTCGGGTATTTAGTTAATGTAGAAGACATTTATGTAAATTTTATAGTTACTCTACTGATTACTTCTTTGAAAATACAGAAAATCACCTTCAGTATCACCTCTCTATTCAATTTGTCTCCCATTATTTTGTTTGTTTTATTCTCCTTCTTTGGGGGATCCTCTCAAGTTTATCCTTCAAGTAAATAATTAATGTAATGTAATTATTTCCACATTGTTGTTTCTGATTTTTATTATTCCACTGCTATTGCATTTTAAGTTCCTTTAAATATTTCTCTCATTTCATCTGTAGCGGATAATGCAACTCCATTTTGAATGCTATTCAGCCATATTGACTTCTGATTAACCCCTATTTTGGGAATATCTCTAAGATTTCTCTTTTATTATCCTGTGAAAACTGACATTGTTAGTTTAATAGGAATAGTGTTGAATCTGTAGATTGCTTTGGGCAGTGTGGCCATTTGAACAATATTGACTCTTTTGATCTATGAGCAAGAAATGTTTTTCCATTTGTTTGTGTCTTCTATTATTTTTTTCAGCATTGTTTTGTAGATCTCCTCGTAGAGATTTTTTAACTCCTTGGTTAGATGTGTTCCTAGGATTTTTATTCTTTTCTTACATATTCATATTGTAAATATGATTGCATTCTTTATTTGGATTGTAGCTTGAATGTTATTGGTGTATAAAAATGTTACTGGTTTTTGTACATTGATTTTGTATCATGAAACTTCACCATTTTTCAGTTCCAGGAGCCTTTTGGCAGAGCTTTCAGGGTTTTCTAGGTATAGCATCATATTGTAAGCAAATAGGGATAATTTGACTTTTGCTTTTCCTATTTGGATAACTTTTCTTTCTTTATCTTGCCTGATTGTTCTGGCTAGGACTTCAAATCAGAAAAGACTTTTCTAAAATTCCTATGGAACCAAAAAAAGAGCCCAGATAGCTAAAGGAATCCTAAGCAAAAAGAAAAAGTCAGAGGCATCACATTATCTGAATTCAAATTATACTATAAGGCAACACAAAGCAAAATAGCATGGTACTAGTACAAAAACACACACATAGAACAATGGAACAGAAAAGAGAACCCAGAAATAAAGTTGCCGACCTATAGCTATTTGATCTTTTCAAAAAGCTGACATAAATAAGCAATGGGGAAAGAATTCCCTATTCAATAAATGGCACTGGGATAGCTGGCTAAACATATGCAGAAGAATAAAACTGGACCTCTACCTTTCACCATACAGAAAAATTAACTCAAGCTGGGTTAAAGATTTAAATGTAAGACCTCAAACTATAAGAATCCTAGAAAAAAAAAAACCCAGAAAACACCATTCTGGATATCGGCCTTGGGAGAAATAACTTATGACTAAGTTCTCAAAAGCAATTGCAACAAAAACACAAATTGACACATACAACCTAATTAAATTAAAGAGCTTCTGCACAGCAAAAGAAACTATCAACAAAGTAAGCAGATAAACTACAATTTGAGAGAAGATATTTGCAAACTATGCATCTGACAAACGTCTAACATCTAGAAATAATAAGAAATTTAAATAAACAGGCGATAAACAATCCCATTAAAAATGGGCAAAAGACATAAACAGACACCTCAAAAGAAGACATATATGCAGCCAACAAACATGAAAAAATACTTCAACATGATTAATGATCAAAAACATGCAAATCAAAACCACAATGAGATACCATCTCATAACAGTAAGGATGGTTATTATAAAAAATTCAAAAACTAACAGATGCTGGTGAGGCTGTGAAGAAGAGAACACTTGCACACTGTTGATGGAGATGGAAATTAGTTCAGCCACTGTGGAAAGCAGTCTGGAGATTTATCAAAGAACTTAAAACAGAACTACCCTTTGATCCCGCAATCCCATTACTGTGTATATATCCAAAAGAAAAATAAATCATTCTACCAAAATGCACATGGACTCATATGTTCATTGCAGCACTATAGACAACAGCAAAGGTATCAAATCAACCTAGGTGCCCATTCATGGTGTGCTGGATTAAGAAACCACAGTACATATACACCATGGAATACTACATAGTCATAAAAAAATGAAGTCATGTTGTTGCACCAATATGAAAGAAGCTGCAGACCATTGTCCTAAGTGAATTAACACAGGAGCAGAAAACTAAATACCACATGTTTTCACTTATAAGTGGGAGCTAAACATTGGGTATCATAAACATGAAGATGGGAAAAATAGACACTGGAAACTACTAGAAGGGAGAAGGAGGGTGGTGGGCAAGTATTGAAAACTAACTATTGAGTATTATGCTCAGTACCTGGGTAATGAGATCATGGATACCCAAACCTCAGTATCGTGCAGTATACTCATGTAAGAAACCTGCACATGTACCCCCTGAATCTGAAATAAAAATTGGAAAAACAGGATTTCTACTTTATCTACTACTATCATAAATTTTGCCCTTAGGTCAAAACAATCTTTGCCATAAATCCTTCCATTATGCAGATTCATACAACATTATTTTCTTTCCCTGAGAGATCGACTTCAATTCTCCTACACATTTCTTCTCTGCAGTATATAAGCCCTGGGTCTGAGAATAAGCGTGTGGAGATCCACCATCTTGTCTTGCCACAGCCCAAGGGGTGGCTTCTGCTTGTAGGTCACCATTAAATGTTTCTTTCTGAGAAACTGGGTTTGTCAGTCTCTTTATTCAGCCTCTCAGCATCCTCGACCTTTAGGGGCATGTTTGCATAGATCTGCTCATTGTGAATTATCTTCAGTCTACCCCTTCTTCTAATCCTCTGTATTTCTTTTTCAACATGTTTCTCCTGTTTCATAGAAAACATTCTTCTTTCACCCTATAGAGAACGGCAAACACTTTTCATCAAAGTTGCTTTGGATTCTGGAATAAATCCATTGCTAAGATTCATCCTACTTCTGCCTCTTCAAGATAATGTTCCATTTCCCTAAATTTAAAGTACTTTTTCTAGACTCTCCTTGTTGATTACTTTCTCTTTACTCCTTATGAGGGGAAAAAGCTCTCACACTTGGTATTTTTCAAACTTATAATCTTGGCATAATTTATGTCCATGCAGTACACAGTCCTTGTTCAAACCCCTTCTTAAATCTAAAGCTAAATAACAGGATGCTGTTCTCACCTATTAGTCCAACCCCCAATGTCTAGTAGATTTTCTGCCAATACGACTTTGCTACACTGTGATAGGTTCTTTCCTAATCCTAGTGTTTTGCTCTCTGATGTGCTAGAAAGACGTATCTAAGGATCCATAATGCACCACACCTGTCCCTGTCCATCACATAGCACTCTGCTTATGAGAACTTCACAAACTAAGATGCAGTGCTCCATGCTCAGGTCATGTTCTTCAAGAGACATTATGAGACATTGGAAAATACTTATCAGGATCAGCTGACCACACTGGAACCAATAATCCTATGCCTAATGTTTAACTTGGGAAGGATTTTTAGACCAGTGTGAGGTTGTTTCTGTTTCCAATTGCTGTTTCTTCTTAGGTTCTTTTCTCTCTGGCTCTTGTCCACCTGGATGATATTCTATGTCAGAGGTTAAAATTCCTATGTGAAAGGTCTCTTACCTTTTTTATGATCATCAATGATTTTGTCACAAATGTTGCCAGAACTGAGTTTGAAAATATTTTATGTCACTCTTCATCATTTATTACTTATCATCCTGAATTGTAGGCTTTTGAGAAGAAGAATAAAACAAGATATGTGTTTAAAAACAATAATCCAGAGGAAGCAGCCAAGATGGCCGAATAGGAACAGCTCCGATCTACAGCTCCCAGCGTGAGCGATGCAGAAGATGGGTGATTTCTGCATTTCAACCTAAGGTACCGGGTTCATCTCACTAGGCAGTGCCAGACAGTGGGCACAGGACAGTGGGTGCAGCACACCCTCCACAAGCCAAAGCAGGGCAAGGCATTGCCTCACTCAGGAAGTGCAAGGGGTCAGGGAGTTCCCTTTCCTAGTCAAAGAAAGGGGTGACAGATGGCACCTGGAAAATCGGGTCACTCCCACCCTAATACTGTGCTTTTCCGATGGGCTTAAAAAACGGCACACCAGGAGATTATATCCCGCACATGGCTCAGAGGGTCTTACACCCATGAAGTCTCACTGATTGCTAGCACAGCAGTCTGAGATCAAACTGCAAGGTGGCAGTGAGGCTGAGGGAGGGGCAACCACCATTGCCCAGGCTTGCTTAGGTAAACAAAGCAGCCAGGAAGTTCCAACTGGGTGGAGCCCACCACAGCTCAAGGAGGCCTGCCTGCCTCTGTAGGCTCCACCTCTGGGGACAGGGCACAGACAAACAAAAAAACAGCAGTAACCTCTGCAGACTTAAATGTCCCTGTCTGACAGCTTTGAAGAGAGTAGAGGTTCTCCCAGCATGCAGCTGGAGATCTGAGAATGGACAGACTGCCTCCTCAAGTGGGTCCCTGACCCCTGACCCCTAAGCAGCCTAACTGCAAGTCACCCCCAAGTAGGGGCAGACTGACCTCACAAGACCGGGTACTCCTCTGAGACAAAACTTCCAGAGGAATGAGCAGACAGCAGCATTTGCTGATCAAGAAAATCCGCTGTTCTGCAGCCACCGCTGCTGTTACCCAGGCAAACAGGGTCTGGAGTGGACCTCTGGCAAACTCCAACAGACCTGCAGCTGAGGGTCCTGTCTGTTAGAAGGAAAATTAACAAACAGAAAGGGCATCCACACCAAAAACCCATCTGTACATCACCAACATCAAAGACTAAAAGTAGATAAAACCACAAAGATGGGGAAAAAACAGAGCAGAAAAACTGGAAACTCTAAAAAGCACAGTGCCTCTCCTGCTCCAAAGGAACACAGTTCCTCACCAGCAATGGAACAAAGCTGGATGGAGAATGACTATGACGAGTTGAGAGAAGAAGGCTTCAGATGATCAAACTACTCTGAGCTACAGGAGGAAATTCAAACCAAAGGCAAAGAAGTTGAAAACTGAAAACAATTTAGATGAATGTAAAACTAGAATAACCAATACAGAGAAGTGCTTAAAGGAGCTGATGGAGCTGAAAGCCAAGGCTCGAGAATTAGGTTGAAGAATGCAGAAGCCTCAGGAGCTGATGCAATCAACTGGAAGAAAGGGTATCAGTGATGGAAGACGAATTCAATGAAATGACATGAGAAGGGAAGTTTAGAGAAAAAAGAATAAAAAGAAATGAGCAAAGCCTCCAAGAAATATGGGACTATGTGAAAAGACAAAATCTACGCCTGATTGGTGTACCTGAAAGTGACCGGGAGAATGCAACCAAGCTGGAAAACACTCTGCGGGACATTATCCAAGAGAACTTCCCCAATCTAGCAAGGAAGGCCAACATTCAGATTCAGGAAATACAGAGAATGCCACAAAGATACTCCTCAAGAAGAGCAACTCCAAGACACATAATTGTCAGATTCACCAAAGTTGAAATGAAGGAAAAAATGTTAAGGGCAACCAGAGAGAAAGGTCGGGTTACCCACAAAGGGAAGCCCATCAGGCTAACAGCAGATCTCTCAGCAGAAACTCTACAAGCCAGAGGAGAGAGGGGGCCAATATTCAACATTCTTAAAGAAAAGAATTTGCAACCCAGAATTTCATATCCAGCCAAACTAAGCTTCATAAGTGAAGGAGAAATAAAATACTTTACAGACAAGCAAATGCTGAGAGACTTTGTCACCACCAGGCCTGCCCTAAAAGAGCTCCTGGAGGAAGCACTAAACATGGAAAGGAACAACCGGTACCAGCCACTGCAAAATCATGCTAAATTGTAAAGACCATCGAGGATAGGAAGAAACTACATCAACTCACGAGCAAAATAACCAACTAACATCAAAATGACAGGATCAAATTCACACATAACAATATTAACTTTAAAAGTAAATGGACTAAATGCTCCAATTAAAAGACACAGAGTGGCAAATTGGATAAAGAGTCAAGACCCATCAGTGTGCTGTATTCAGGAAACCCATCTCATGTGCAGAGACACACATAGGCTCAAAATAAAGGGATGGAGGAAGATCTACAAGCAAATAGAAAGCAAAAAAGGCAGGGGTTGCAATCCTAGTCTCCGATAAAACAGACTTTAAACAAACAAAGATCAAAAGAGACAAAGAAGGCCAGTACATAATGGTAAATGGATCAATTCAACAAGAAGAGCTAACTATCCTAAATATATATGCACCCAATACAGGAGCACCCAGATTCATAAAGCAAGTCCTGAGTGACCTACGAACAGACTTAGACTCCCACACAATAATAATGGGAGACATTAACAGCCCACTGTCAATATTGGACAGATCAATGAGACAGAAAGTTAACAAGGATACCCAGGAATTGAACTGAGCACTGCACCACGCAGACCTCATAGACATCTACAGAACTCTCCACCCCAAATCAACAGAATATACATTTTTTTCAGCACCGCACCACACCTATTCCAAAATTGACCACATACTTTGAAGTAAAGCTCTCCTCAGCAAATGTAAAAGAATAGAAATTATAACAAACTGTCTCTCAGACCACAGTGCAATCAAACTAGAACTCAGGATTAAGAACCTCACTCAAAACCACTCAACTACATGGAAACAGAACCACCTGCTCCTGAATGACTACTGGGTACATAATGAAATGAAGGCAGAAATAAAAATGTTCTTTGAAACCAACAAGAACAAAGACACAACATACCAGAATCTCTGGGACACATTCAAAGCAATGTGTAGAGGGAAATTTATAGCACTAAATGCCCACAAGAGAAAGCAGAAAAGATCCAAAATTGACACCCTAACATCACAATTAAAAGAACTAGAGAAGCAAGAGGAAACACATTCAAAAGCTAGCAGAAGGCAAGAAATAACTAAAATCAGAGCAGAACTGAAGGAAATACAGATACAAAAAACCCTTCAAAAAATTAATGAATCCAGGAGCTGGTTTTTTGAAAGGATCAACAAAATTGATAGACTGCTACCAAGATTAATAAAGAAGAAACGAGAGAAGAATCAAATAGATGCAATAAAAAATGATAAAGGGGATATCACCACTGATCCCACAGAAATACAAACTACCATCAGAAAATACTACAAACACCTCTACGCAAATAAACTAGAAAATCTAGAAGAAATGGATAAATTCGTCGACTCATCCACCCTCCCAAGACTAAACCAGGAAGAAGTTGAATCTCTGAATAGACCAATAACAGGCTCTGAAATTGTGGAAATAATCAATGGCTTACCAACCAAAAAGAGTCCAGGACCAGATGGATTCACAGCTGAAATCGACCAGAGGTACTAGGAGGAATTGATACCATTCCTTCTGAAACTATTTCAATCAATAGAAAAAGAGGGAATCCTCCCTAACTCATTTTATGAGGCCAGCATCATCCTGATACCAAAGCCAGGCAGAGACACAACCAAAAAGGAGAATTTTAGAACAATATCCTTGATGAACATTGATGCAAAAATCCTCAATAAAATACTGGCAAACCAAATCCAGCAGCACATCAAAAAGCTTATCCACCATGATCAAGTGGGCTTCATCCCTGGGATGCAAGGCTGGTTCAATATATGCAAATCAATAAATGTAATCCAGCATATAAACAGAACCAAAGACAAAAACCACATGATTATCTCAATAGATGCAGACAAGGCCTTTGACAAAATTCAACAATGCTTCATGCTAAAAACTGCCAATAAATTAGGTATTGATGGGACATATCTCAAAATAATAAGAGCTATCTATGACAAACCCACAGCCAATATCATCCTGAATGGGCAAAAACTGGAAGCGTTCCCTTTGAAAACTGGCAAAAGACAGGGATGCCCTCTCTCACCACTCCTATTCAACATAGTGTTGGAAGTTCTGGCCAGGGCAATTAGGCAGGAGAA
The DNA here is from genome assembly GCF_000001405.40 of Homo sapiens. Taxonomy (NCBI): domain Eukaryota; kingdom Metazoa; phylum Chordata; class Mammalia; order Primates; family Hominidae; genus Homo; species Homo sapiens. The sequence goes on along the minus strand of NC_000006.12, from coordinate 61,049,399 downwards.
GGAAATAAAGTATATTCAATTAGGAAAAGAGGAAGTCAAATTGTCCCTGTTTGCAGATGACATGACTGTATATCTAGAAAACCCCATTGTCTCAGCCCAAAATCTCCTTAAGCTGATAAGCAACTTCAGCAAAGTCTCAGGATATAAAATCAATGTACAAAAATCACAAGCATTCTTATACACCAACAACAGACAAACAAAGAGCCTAACCATGAGTGATCTCCCATTCACAATTGCTTCAAAGACAATAAAATACCTAGGAATCCAACTTACAAGGGACATGAAGGACCTCTTCAAGGAGAACTACAAACCACTGTTCAATGAAATAAAAGAGGATACAAAGAAATGGAAGAACATTCCATGCTCATGGGTAGGAAGAATCAATATCGTGAAAATGGCAATACTGCCCAAGGTAATTTATAGATTCAATGCCATCCCCATCAAGCTACCAATGACTTTCTTCACAGAATTGGAAAAAACTAATTTAAAGTTCATATGGAACCAAAAAAGGGCCCGCATCACCAAGTCAATCCTAAGCCAAAAGAACAAAGCCGGAGGCATCATGCTACCTGACTTCAAACTATACTACAAGGCTACAGTAACCAAAACAGCATGGTACTGGGACCAAAACAGAGATATAGATCAATGGAACAGAACAGAGCCCTCAGAAATAACACCGCATATCTACAACTATCTGATTTTTGACAAACTTGAGAAAAACAAACAATGGGGAAAGGATTCCCTATTTAATAAATGGTGCTGGGAAAACTGGCTAGCCATATGTAAAAAGCTGAGACTGGATCCCTTCCTTACACCTTATACAAAAATTAATTCAAGATGGATTAAAGACTTAAACGTTAGACCTAAAACCATAAAAACCGTAGAAGAAAACCTAGGCATTACCATTCAGGACATAGGCATGGGCAAGGACTTCATGTCTAAAACACCAAAAGCAATGGCAACAAAAGACAAAATAGTCAAATGAGATCTAATTAAACTAAAGAGCTTCTGCACAGCAAAAGAAACTACCATCAGAGTGAATAGGCAATCTACAAAATAGGAGAAAATTTTCACAACCTACTCATCTGACAAAGGGCTAATATCCAGAATCTACAATGAACTCAAAGAAATTTACAAGAAAAAAACAAACAACCCCTTCAAAAAGTGGGCAAAGGACATGAACAGACACTTCTCAAAAGAAGACATATATGCAGCCAAAAAACACATGAAAAAATGGTCACCATCACTAGCCATCAGAGAAATGCAAATCAAAACCACAATGAGATACCATCTCCCACCAGTTAGAATGGCAATCATTAAAAAGTCAGAAAACAACAGGTGCTGGAGAGGATGTGGAGAAATAGGAACACTTTTACACTGTTGGTGGGACTGTAAACTAGTTCAACCATTGTGGAAGGCAGTGTGGTGATTCCCCAGGGATCTAGAACTAGAAATACCATTTGACCCAGCCATCCCATTACTGGGTATATACCTAAAGGACTACAAATCATGCTGCTATAAAGACACATGCACACGTATGTTTATTGCAGCACTATTCACAATAGCATAGACTTGGAACCAACCCAAATGTCCAACAATGATAGACTGGATTAAGAAAATGTGGCACATATACACCGTGAAATACTATGCAGCCATAAAAATGGTGAATTCATGTCCTTTGTAGGGACATGGATGAAATTGGAAGTCATCATTCTCAGTAAACTATCACAAGAACAGACAACCAAACACTGCATATTCTCACTCATAGGTGGGAATTGAACAATGAGAACACATGGACACAGGAAGGGGAACATCACACTCTGGGGACTGTTGTGGGGTGGGAGGATGGGGGAGGGATAGCATTAGGAGTTATACCGAATCCTAAATGACGAGTTAATGGGTGCAACACACCAGCATGGCACATGTATGCATATGTAACTAACCTGCACATTGTGCACATGTACCCTATAACTTAAAGTATAACAATAATAAAATAAAATTTAAAAAAACATTAATCCAGTAGTGTATAGGATGGACTAGAATCAGTGAGGTCAGCCAATGAGATCTGTAGTAAGTTAAGCACTGATGAGAATGGAAAGAGCAAGGCATTTTTAAAGCAAAAACAATATATAATTAAAAAAAGGCAAGAGATGAGTTCATCATTTAACCAAGTAAATAAAACATAAAATGGAAAGATTTTTAAGGGTAGAATGTCTTCATAAAATTGAGAATGCACTCTAAAAAAGAAAATGGAATCAGTGGCAAAACAAATGAACAAACCCAGAACACCTAAGATACACTGAAGTTAAAGGTAGCAGTTCACATAAGAACAAATGGCATGCTTGTCACAAAAACTGAAGAACAACACAATTCTACTAAAGAATATGAAGAAGAAAAGCAGGATTGAATCACTCTAGAGCAGTTAGTTTAGTCACATATAGTAAAACCTGTGAAATATGACCAACAGAATTGGTTTCTATATCACATTCAAGATGACCTATTTTTTAACCTTATGAAGTCATTTAATCTCTCTGAGTTTCAATTTTCCCTTTTCTGTAAAGTGAGCTTAAGAGTACTAAGGAATAATCGGGGGCAGTGACTCTAGAGGACAGGGTTGAAAAACCAAACAAGGGCAAATACAATGCTATAATTGGAAAGAAACAACTGACTCCTGAAACGAAATCCCACTGATTCCTTTAATAAGTTAAATCCTAGTCTTCCAGAGTTGACAAAAATGACAGCATGTCCTCCTGGAAAAGCATAGCTGTTTCACAAATCCCTGACTGTTGTTCCCTGGAGCCAGGATGGCAGAGGGTTTAGCAAGAGATAACAGTCTCCATGGTAAGAGTCAAAGGCAACTTTCCCACCTAGATACACCCTTTTTATTGCTAATCTCAGAGTCTCGTAATTTGATTATATTAAGGAAATCTGCAGTTTTCCTTACATTTATGGTCCCTCCTCTGAGCTGTCACCATCTTGAAGAAATCAATCATTTGAATATTACCGAATGGTGTTGTAGGTACTACACAAGTAAGAGTGAAGGGTCATTTCCCCTGCCTTCCAGAGGCTTGGATCCAAATAGAGAAGCTAATAACTCCCATTCTGAGTCAGAACAACAACAAAAAGAACACATAAGTTCTTTGAAGAGAACATTTTAGCAGATATGAAAATGTGTTGGAGAGTTGAAGTAGAAAACTGGTGCCACATTTTGTCTATCATTTGTTTCAAAATGTTTCTTTTTGCCACCCCAAGCTACTCTGAGGTTCATCTTCCCAATCGTGGCCTCTTCGTTTACTATCAATGATGCTAAATACATGACTATTAACACAATGCACAACTGCCACAGTACACATTTTGAGAACAGTGTTTTCAGATAGACCCAATGAATCTTTTTTTCAGGGAAATTCATTATATGCAAAGGTATAACATTTAAAATTCTCCAAATACAATTATTACATGTTACCTGAGCTCATTGTATTTCTATTATCACTCTACTCCTTAAATAAAACTTAGATAGCAAAAAAAAAAGGAAAAAAAAGAAAAACTGAAAGGAAAGCAGCCATATTTTTTCTTTAGGTTTGTGAAGATAATTTTATAAATATCATTGCTTAAAATGAGGACATTATGTCACATTACCCATTTTATCTGGGAAAACACGACTTAGTTCTTCAGAAAGGAATGATGCATTGATAAGGCAAGTATAAACTGATAAAACAGGATTATCAGGTGATAAAGTCATGGATATTTTAACTGAAAATAAAATATACTAGATACTCCTAGTACAGCCTAAGTACATTGGAGCACTTTCAGAACGCAAGTGACTTAATGAATTATTCCACAAATATTAAATATTTCTATTAAAAATTAAATAAAAATTAGTTAAACTTTATTAATGCAGCTCGCACAATATCTTCAAATAACTTACAAGTAAGGCTGAATTCTTAAATTGGAAGAATATAAAAGCAAATATTTATTAACTCTAGAGAAACAAGGGCATTTGTTATTTTAGAAACAATGGAAGAAATAAAAATAATGAAAGGACTGAAAGATGTGCCAACATTAAAACCAGCCAACAAAATAAACACACTTGAAATTGAAAAGTGAACAGAAAATTAGGAAAGTTATTTGCAGAATACAGCATGTCCCAAAATAACTTCATTTAGTTCAACATCATTTTATTATAATATTAGTGAAGGAAAAAAAACTTAATTCCTGACTTGGGCCACTGTCTGTGTAGTTTGCATGTTCTCACCATATCAGTATGGGCTTTCTCCAGGAGCTCTGGTTTCCTCCCACATCCCAAAGATTTGTATGTTAGGTGAATTGGCGAGTCTTAATGGTTTCTGGTCCTAGTGAGTTTGTCTGTTGTGGGGGAGGGGGTGACAGTGCGCCCTGCAATGAGATGGCATCTCTCCAGGGTTGGCTCCCACCTTGTGCCCTGTGCTGCCTAGATGGGCTCTGACCACTTGCAACTCTAAGCTGAAATAATTGGATAAATCATTATCTTACTTATTTTCATTAATCTTTCTTAAATACATATATAGAGAGAGCACTCACATTTATTTCAGTGTCTAATATTAAAAGTGTTTTGGTCTTCAGAAGTTTGGTGATGTTTTTGTGAACAGAAATATGCTATAGAAGTTTAACTCTAGTTTATATCAATTAGTCTGTGGTAAAATTGGTTTTGTTCTATTTCATTTCATATAACAAGGAACCTATCTTGGTTCAATTTCCAAGAACCTATTGACAATGTTAATGTAATATTCTGTACATTTCCAGAAAACATACAAATGCCAAGATTCAAGATGGCTGACTAGGGCTATTTCATACTCACTTCCTCCACTAAAAAGAACCAAATAGTGAGTGAATAATCATAGTTTGAATAGATAATCCAAGAGGGAACACTGGAATTCAACAGAAAAGTGACAGGCAACCACACGCCCCACCTGATCACCAAAATCAGAGGAAGCCCAGCATTTCTCCAAGGAAGAAATCCCAGTCAACCCAAAACCCCTCCACCACTACAGTTGAAATGCTACAGCCCTAACATCCCTCAGACTGGGAAGGAACAAAGGGCCTAGTCATTATACTAGTACCTCCAGCACACTGCAGCCACCATACAGAGGGAAGTCCAGCCCCTCTACCCTGAGAGCCCCCACCCTCACTATTCACCAGGCAAAGCCCCCAGCTCACGAACACAGTCGTCACGCCTGCAGCTGGGCATACCCACTGGTAGTGGCCCAGAGGTTCCTCAAGGATAGTCTCCCATAGGCATCAAACAGCCCCTCTGCCACTGCCACAGTAAGAGTTCTATCCCTGCTGTCCTTGGTCTAGGGAAGAAACAAAGAGCCTGAGGGCTACACTCAAACTTAAAGCATGCCACAGCCACCATACAGAGAGGAAACCAATTTCTCCTCCTTGTGAGCCTTTGACCCCCTGCTTCCCAACAACTAGAACCCAAAGTTCATATCAGTAATGTACCTGTCTCACTCCACTGGCTGAACACCCCCAGTAAGAGCAGCTCTATGTTTCTTGGAGATAGAGTCCCCAAGGGCAACTGAAAGCCTCTATGCCACTGTCTTTGCAGTGGAACTGCCTTCACTACCCTCGAATTAATGAACAAGCAAGACTCTAAGTGCCTTATTCTCGCCTGTAACAAACTGCAGTCAACCCAAAGAGAATACTCCAGTCCATCTTCCATAACTTCCACCCACCCCCACTGCTGTTCACCAGACAGGGAACACAAGCTAGGGACAACAGCACAGACCCTCCATCATGGGCTGATTGCACTGAGAAATTGTGAACCTGCATCTCTCTGAAGTGGGGCCCCCAGGAGACCAGCAAAAGGCTCTTGGCCACAGCTACTGCTAAGGTCTCTTCCTCTGCTGTCTCAAAGTTGGGAAAGGAACATAAATCCTGAGATCACCCCTGAGCTGTGGTGGGCAGCCCAGGAGTGCAAGGACACCATCTATGGTTTGTAATGATCTGGGGAGGGAGGGTGATATTATTCCCCATATCCAAGGGGGCTGCACCCATCTATGATATAGTTCATAACATCTTGAAGGAGACAAGGTGGTATTACTCCCCATATCTCGTGGGGCCTACACCCACCGGTGATATGGTTTGTAATATCCCCAGGGAAGAGAGGGTGATGTTACTCCTCATAGAGTGGAGGGCGTACACCCCCCTGTGATATGGTTTGTAATATATTGGGGGGAAGAGGGTGATATTATTCCCCATATGGCCAGGGGAATACACCCTACTGTTATATGGTTAGTAATATCCCGGAGCAGAGAAAATGATATTTCTCCCCCTATCGCAGGTGGCATACAACCCCCCATGATATGGTTTGTAATATTTTGGAGGAAAGAGAGTGAAATTACTCTTCATATCGTGGGGGGCGGGGTACACCACCCGCTGATATGGTTCATAATATCCCGAAGGAGAGAGAATAACATTACTCCCATATTGCGGGGGGGTACACCCCCTTCGTGATATGGTTCATAATATCCCCAGGGTGGAGAGGGTGATATTACTCCCAATATCGCGGGGGGCATACACCCTCAATGATATGGTTTCTTAACATCCTGAAGGAGAGAAGGTGATCTTAATCCTCATATCACATGGGGCCTATATCCCCCTGTGATATGGTGTGTAATATCCCGGGGAGGAGAGGGTGATATTACTCCTCATTATTGCGGAGGGCATACACCCCCCGTGATATGGTTTGTAATATCTTGGGGGTGGAGAGGTTGATATTATTCTACATACACCTCCCGGTGATATGGTTTGTAATATCCCTGGGCAGGGAGGGTGGTATTTCTCCCCCTATCGTGGGTGGAGTACACTCCCCGTGATATGGTTTGTAATATTTTGGGGGAAAGAGAGATATATTACTCTTTATATCGTGGGTGGGGGTACACCACCCGGTGATATGGTTTATAATATCACGAAGGGGAGAGAATGATATTACTCCCATATCGCAGGGGAGCACATCCCCTCCGTGATATGGTTCGTAATATCCTGGGGTGGAGAGGATGATATTACTCGCAATATCACAGGGGGTACTTATACACCCCCCAGTAATATTGTTTGCAATTCAGGTAGGGAGAGAATAATATTACTATTAATATGTAAAATGCAGTGTACAACCCCCTGTGATACTGTTCATAATATTCAGAGCATGATGATATTACTCCCAAAATCATAAACCCCCTGTGTGTAAACCCCCTGTGATATTGTTAGTAATATACAGGTAGGGAGAGGATGATATTACTCGCCATATCACAGGGGGTGTATACCCCACTGTGACATTGTTTATAATATCCAGTGAAGTAGAGGATGATATTACTCCTCATTGATATTACGAACATTGGATATTGTTCGTAATATCCAGGGAAGGAGAAAAGGATATTTCTCCCAATATCTCAGGGGATGTACATTCCCCTGGAATATTGTTTGTAATATCCAGGTGAAAAGAGGATGATATTACTCTCAATATTCCAGGGGGTGTACACCCTTCTGTGATATTGTTTTCAATATGTGGGGGGGAGAATATAATATTTTTCCCATATTGCACGGGGTGTACACCTTTCTGTGATATTGTTCGTAATATCCAATGAGGGAGAGGATATTACTCCCCATATCGTGGGGGCTGTACACCCCCTTGTTATATTGTTCTTAATATCCAGGTAAAGAGAGGATAATATAACTCCCCATATTGCAGGGGGTGTACACTTTCCTGTGATATTGTTCATAATATCCAGAGAAGAAAAGGATGATTACTCCCAATATTGCAGGAGGTGTACAGCCCCTGGTGATATTCTTTGTAATATCCAGAAGGGAGATGATATTACTCCCAATATCATAAACACCCTGTGTGGACACTCTCGGTGATACTGTTTGTAATATTAAAGGGGAGAGAATAATATTACTCCCAATACCGCAAGGGGTGTACACCCCCCTGTGATATTGTTCATAATATCCAAAAAGGAGAGAATAATATTACTTGGACCATCACTAGGTGTGTACACACCCCTGTAATATTGTTCATAATATTCAGAAAGGGGGAAGGTTATATTGCTTCCAATATCGCAGAGGATGTACACCAACCTATAATATTGTTCGTAATATCCAGGAACAGAGAAGATGATATTACACCCAGTATCACAGGGGGTGTACAGCTTAATGTGATATTGTTCGTAATATCAAGAAAAAGAAAAAATGGTCTTACTGCCAATATCGCAAGGGGTGTACACCCTCTTGTGATATTGTTCGTAATATTAAGTGTGGGAGAGGATGATATTATTTTCAACATCACAGGGGCTGTACAGCCCCCTGTGATATTGCTCATAATATTCAGCGAAGGCAAGGATGATATTACTCTTAATATCACAGGGGCTGTACACCTTCCTGTGATATTGTTTGTAATATCAAAAGGGGAAAAAGACGATATTACTCCCAATATTGCAAAGGGTGTACACCAACCTATGGTATTGTTCATCATATTTAGAAGGAGAAAGGACAATATTACTCCCAATATCGCAGGAAGTGTACACATCCCCCCCGTGATATTGTTTGTAATACCCAGGAAGGGAGAGGATGACATTCATCCCAATACTTTAAACACCCTCTTTGTACACCCACTGTGATAATTTTTGTAATATCCAGGGGGAGAGAGGATGATGTTACTCCTAATATCACAGGGCGTGTAACCACCCTGTTATATTATTTGTAATATCCCAGGGGGTGGGGGGAGGATGATATTACTCCCAGTAAGGCAGGGTGTGTACACCCCTTTTAAATATTGTCCATAATATCAAGGGGGGGGAGAGGATGATATTATTCTCAATATCGCAAACAGTGTACATCCCCCCGTGACATTGTTGGTAACATCCAGGGAAAAAAAAAAAAGAATATTACCCTGAATATTGTAAACAGCCTGTGTGTACACCCTCTGTGATACTGCTCGAAATATCAAGAGGAGGAGAGGATGATATTACTCAATGCACGCAATGTACACCCTTTCTACTATATTGTCTCTAATATCCAGGAAGGAATGGATGATATTACTCCCAATATTGGAGGAGGTTTACACCCCACATGTGATACTGTTCCTAATATCCAGAGTGAAAGAGGATGATATTACTTCTAATATCACCGGGGATTTAACCTTCCCTGTGATATTGTTCATAATATCCAAAGGGGAGAGAGCAATATTACTCCCAATATCACAGGGGGTGTACACCTTCCCGATGATATTGTTGCTAATATCCAGAAAAGGAGAAGATTATATTACTCTCAATATTGCAGGAGGTGTACAGCCCCCTGTGATATTGCTTCTAATATCCAGAGGTGGAAGAGGATGATATTACTCTCAATATTGCAGGGAGTGTACACCTCCCCTGTGATATTGTTCCTAATATCTGGGGTGGGGGAAGGAGAGGATGATATTACTTTTAATATCGCAGGGAACGTACAACCCTTTTGTGATATTGTTCCTAATATTCAGGGGTGAAGACTATGATATTATTGTTAATATCGCAGTGTGTGTACACCCCCCCCATGATATTGTTCCTAATATTTTTTGGGGGGGAAGATTATATTACTTACAATATCGCAGGGCGTGTACACCCCCCTCCCTGTGATATTGTCCCTAATATCTAGGGGAGAAAAGGACTTTGTTACTCCCAATATCGCAAAGGATGTACATTCCCCAGGTTCTTAATAGTTAGGTTGAAAGAAAATGACATTATGCCCAATATCATAGGGGGTGTACACCTTTTCTGCGATATTGCTCCTAATATCCAGGTGAGAAGAAAATGATGTTACTCCCAATATTGCAGAAGGTGTGCATTTCTTCTGTGATATTGTTCCTAATATCCAGGGGGAAACAAAATGATATTACTCCCAATATCAAAGGAGTGAAAAGGTTGTACCTCCCCACTGTGATATAGTTTCTAACATCCAGGAAAAAAGAGGATGATATTATTTCCAATAGAGCATGGATTGTACACCCCCCATAATATTGTTCCTAATATCCAGGGGGAAGAGAATAATATTACTCCCAATATTTCAGGGGGTTTACACCCTTCCTGTGATATTGTTCCTAATATTCAAAGGGGAAAGAGTGTGATATTACTCCCAATATCGCAGGAGGTGTACACCCCCCTGTGATATTGTTTGATATAAAGAGTGGGAAAGGATGCTATTAAACCCAATGTCACAGGTGTTGAACACCACCCTTGTGATATTTTTCCTAATATCTTGAAGGGGAGAAGATAATATTACTCTCAATATCACAGGAGGTGTACTCCTTCCCTGTGATATTGTTCCTAATATCCATGGGGTGGGGAGGATGATATTGCTCCCAATATCACAGGGAGTGTACACCTCTGTGATATTGTTCCTAATATCCAGGAAATGGGGAGGATGATATTACTCCCAATATCGAAATATCGAAGGGGGTGTACACTCCCCTGTGATATTGTTACCAATATGTGGGGGGGGAAGGATGATATTACTCCCAATATCGAAGTGGGTGTACACACCTCCTGTGATATTGTTCGTAATACCAAGGGGAGGAGAGGATGATATTACTCCCAATATCGCAAGAAGTGTACTATTACTACTTGTAATATTGTTCCTAATATGCAGAAGGGTAGAGGATATCATTCCCAGTATCGCAGAAGATGTACAACCCTTCTGTGATATTGTTCTAATATCCAGGGTGAGAGAGAGAATATTACTCCCAATATCGCAGGAAGTGTACACCACTTATGTGATATTATTCCTAGTAGCCATGAAGGGAGAAAATGATGCTACTCTTAATATTGCAGGGGATGTACATCCCCCTCTCATATTCTTTTTAATATCCAGGAGAAGAGAGTATGATATTATGACCTACATTGCAGGGGGTGTACACTCCCCTTGTGATATTGTTTCTAATATCCAAAAAGGGAGATGATATTACTCCCAATATTGCAGGAAGTGTACATTCTCTCTGTGGTATTGTTTCTAATATTCAAGGGGAAAGAGGATAATATTACTCCCAATATCTCAGGGGTGTACAACCACCCTGAAATATGGTTTCCAATATCCAGTGAAGGAGAGGATAATATTACTCCCAATATCACAGGGGGTGTATATCCCTTCTGTGATATTGTTTCTAATATCCAGGGGAAAAGAGGATTATGTTACTCCCAATATTACACAGGGTGTAGATCTCCCTGTGATATTGCTTTTACTCTTCGCGGGGGGGAGGATGATATTACTCCCAATATTGAACAGGGTGTATACCCTTCCTGTTATATTGTTTCTAATATCCAGGGGGTGGAAATGATAATATTTCTCCCAATATCAGAGGGGTTTACACCCCCTCTGTGATATTATTCCTAGTATCTAGGGAGAAAGAGGATGATATTACTCCCAATATCGCAGGGGGTGTACACCCCCCCTGATATTTTTCCTAATATCCAGAGAAAAAGAGAGTGGTATTACTTTTGATATCACAGGAGGTGGACACTCCCCCTTTGATATTGTTTCCAATATTCAGGAAAGGGAGAGGATGACATTACTCCCAATATCACAGGCGATGTCTTCCCCTCCCCGTGATATAGTTCCCCATATCCGGGGGGACAGGGAGAGAATAATATTACTCTCAATAATGCAGGTGGTGTACACCCACCCTGTGATCTTGTTCCTAATATTCAGGGGGGTAGAGGATACAATTACTCCCGATATAGCAGGGAGTGTACAACCCCCTGTCATATTATTCCTAATATCCAGAGGGGAAGATGATTATATTACTTCCAATATCACTGAGGGTGTGCAACCCTTCATGATATTGCTTCTAATATCCAGAACGAAAGAGAATTATATTATTCCCAATATCGCAGAAAGTGTACATCCCTCTGTTATATTGTTCATAATATCCAGGGAGGGGAGAGGATGGCATTATCTCCAATATCTCAGGGTGTGTGCACCTCCCATGTGATATTGTTCCTAATATTTAAAAAGAGGAGAGGATGATATGACTCCAAATATTGCAGGCGGTGTACACCTTCCCTGTGATATTGTTCTTCATATCCAGGGCAAAAAATGATGACATTACTACCAATATCACAGAGAATGTTCACCCCCTCTGTGATATTGTTTTTAATATTCAGGGGAAAGAGGGATTATATTACTTTCAACAACGCAGAGGGTATAGAACCCCCTTGGGATATTGTTCCTAATATCCAGGGTGGAGATGATGACATTACGCCCAATATCAAAGGGGATGTACACTTTTCCCTGTAATGTTGTTCACAATATAGAGTGAGGGAGAGGATTATATTACTCCCAATATCGCAGGGGGTGTATACCTTCCCTGTGATATTTTTGCTAATATCCGGGGTGAGGGGAGAGGATATTACTCCCAATATTGCAAGAGGTGTACACTTCCCTTGTGATATTTTTCCTAATATCCAGAAAGTGAGAGGAAGACATTTTTCCCAATATTGCAGGGGGTGTACACCCCACCTGTAATATGGCTCCTAATATTCGGGGGGAGTTTGATATTACTCCCAATATCACAGGCATTGTATACCCCTTCTGTGATATTGTTCCTAATATCCAGGCAGAGAGATAATGATGTTACACCCATTATCACAGGGGGGTGTACATTCCTTCTGTGATATTGTTCCTAATATCCAGGGGGAAAATTATATTACCCCCAATATTGCAGGTGTTGTAAACCCCCTCTGTGATATAGTTCCTAATATCCAGGCTGGAAGAGGATGATATTATTCCCAATATTGCAGGAGTACACTCCCCCTGTGATATTGTTCCTAATATTTAGGGGTGAGAGGATGATATTACTCCCGACATCCCAGGGGGTTGACACACTTCTTGTGATACTTTTTCTAATATTCAGGTGGGGAGAGGATGATATTACTCCTGATGTCACAGGGGGTGTACACCCTCCCCTGTGATATTGTTCCTAATATCCAGGGTAAGAAGGAATGATATCACTCCTAATATTGCAGACGTTGTACACCACTCCTGTGATATTGTTCCTAATATCCAGGGGGGACGAGGATATTACTCCCAATATCACAAAAGGTGTAAACTCCTCCTGCGATATTATTTTTAATATTTAGTGGGGGACATGATAATATTATTCCCAATATTGCAGGGGTGTACACCCCTTCTGTGATATTGTTTCTAATATCCGGGGGGAAGGATGATATTACTCCCAATATCGCAGGGGGGTTACACCTCCCCTGTGATATTGTTTTTAATATGCCAGGGAAGGAGGACAATATTCCTTTCAATATCGAACGGGCTGTACAGGCCTCCCGTGATATTGTTACTAATATCCAGGAGAGGAGAGAATGATATTACTCCTAATATCGCAGGGTGTGTACACCCCCCTGGAAATTTGTTTGTAATATCCAGGATGGGGGAGTGGATGATATTACTCCCAAAATCGTGGAAGGAGCACACTCATTCTGTGATATTGTTTCTAATATCCATGGGGAGAGAGGATTACTTTACTCCCAATATCACAGGAAGTATAAACCACTTCTGTGATATTGTTCCTAATAACCATGAAGGCATAAGAAGTTATTACTTCCAATATCAAAGGGAATTTACACCCACACCCCCGTGATATTGTTCCTAAAGTCCAGGCGATGAGTGTATGATATTACTCCCAATATCGCAGGGTGTGAACACCCCCTCTGTGATAGTGATCTTAATATCCAGAGGGGGGAGAGGAGGATATTACTGTTAATATCACAGGGGGTGTAAACCCTCCCCATGATATTGTTTCTAATATCAGGGGGGAAAAGATAATATTACTCCCTAATATCCAGTGGTGAGAGGATGATATTACTCCCAATGTCGCAAGGGGTGTACACCTTCATGTGATATTGTTCCTAATATCCAGAGGGGGTGGAGAGATTATATTACTGCCAATATCGCGGGGACTGTAAACCCCATTTGTGATAATGTTTGTAATATCCAGTGGGAGGAGAGGATTATATTACTTTCAATATCGCAGATATTGTTCCAAATAACCTGGGGGGGAGACGATGATGTTTCTCCCAATATTGCAAGGGGTATACACTCCCCTGTGATATTTTTCCTACTATCCAGGGGGGAGAGGATGATATTACTCCCAATATCGCAGCAAGTGGACACCACCCCAAGTGTACACCACCCCTGTGATATTGTTCGTAATATCCAGGGGGGAAAGTATGATACTACACCCAATATCACAGGGGGTGTACACGCTCGCTGTGATGTTCCTAATATTCAGGGGGAAATAGGATGATATTACTCGCATTATCAAAGAGTGTGTACACCGCCCTGTGATTTTTTTTTTTTTTTTTGAGACGGAGTCTTGCCATGTCGCCCAGGCTGGAGTGCAGTGGCACTATCTCGGCTCACTGCAACCTCCGCCTCCCAAGTTCAAGGAATTCTCCTGCCTCAGCCTCTGGACTAACTGGGATTATAGGCGTCTGCCACTACACCCGGCTAATTTTTGTAGTTTTAGTCGAGACAGGGTTTCCCCATGTTGGTCAGGCTGGTCTTGAACTCCTGACTTCAAGCAATCCACCCACCTCGGCCTCCCAAAGTTCTGGGATTACAGGCGTAAAACCCCTCTGTGATATTGTTCCTAATATTCAGGAAGAAAGAGAATATTACTCCCATTGTCGGAGGGAGTGTACACCTCCCCTGTGGTATCGTTTCTCATAAGCGGGGGGATGGGGGGAGAGGGTGATATTACTTTCAATATCGCAGAAGGTGTACACCCACCCGCCCCCGTAATGTTTTTCCTAATATCCAGTGAAGGAGAGGTTGATATTACTCCCAAAAATCACCGAAGGTGTAAAACCTCCGTTTGATATGGTTTCTAATATTCAGGTGGGGGGATAATTATATCCCTCCCAATATCCCAAGGCAGGTACATCCCCACTGTGATATCGTTTCTAATGTCCAGAAGGGGAGAAAATATTACTCTTTTATATCGTAAATATTCTATGTGTACACCCCCTGCACTATGGTTGGTAATATTTAGGAGGGAATGGGTTATATTTCTCCCAATATTGTGGAGGAAGTACACCCCACCCCCGTGGTATGGTTCGTAATATCCAGAAGGGGAGTGGGTGACATTGCTTTCCATATCGCGGGAGGTGTACACCTTTCTGTGATATGGTTCATAATATCCAGGGAGGAAGAGGGTAATATTGCTCCCCATATCGATGGGGGTGTACACCTTCATGTAATATGGTTCGCAATATCAAGTAGGGAAGAGAATGATATTGCTCCTTATATCGAGGGGCGTGTACACCTTCTTGTTATATGGTTTGTAATATCCAAGAAACGAGAGGGTCATATTGCTCCCCATACCACAGGAGGTGTACACCCATGTGATATGGTTGGTAATATCCATGGGGGAAAGGGTGACATTGCTCCCCATATCATGGGTGTACAACCCCCTGTAATATGGTTCATAATATCCGGGGGGGGGGGGAAGAGTGTGGTATTATTCCCCATATCCCAAAGTGCGTACAACCCCCTGTCATATGGTTCATAATATTCGGGGGGGGGGGGGAAGAGTGATATTGCTTCACATATCGCAAGGGGTGTACACCCCTTTGTAATATGGTTTTTAATATCCAGGGGTGGGGGAAGAGTGATATTGCTCCTCATTTCGCAAGCAGTGTGCACCTGCCTGTGATATGGTTTGTAGTATCCAGGAGGAAAGAGGGTGATATTGCTCCCCATACCGCGAGAGGTGTACACCCCCTGTGATATAGTTCTTAATATCCTGGGGGGAGAGGTTGATATTGCTCCCTATATAGTGGCGGGTGTACACCCCCCCTTTAATATGTTCCTTAATATCCAGGAGTGAGAAGGTAATATTGCTTCCCATATCGTGGGGGGGCATACACCCGTCTGTGATATGGTTCCTCATATCCAAGGGGGAGACAGTGATATGGTTTTTAGTATCCACGGAGAGAGAGGGTTATATTGCTCCTCGTAAAACGTGGGGTGTACACCCCCTTGTAATATGGTTTGTAGTATCCAGGGAACGAGGAGGTAATATTGCTTTCCATATCGCAGGGGGTGTACAACCTGCTGTGATATGGTTTGTAATATCTGGGGGGGACGGTGAGGGCGATATTGTTCCCCATATCACAGGGGAGTACACCCCCCTGTGATATGGTTTGTAATATCCATAGGTGGGAGGGTGATATTGCTCCCCATATGGCTAGGGGTGAACACCCCCCTCTGATATGGTTTGTAATACTGGGGGGGAGAGAGTGATATTGCTCCTATAACGGGAAGGGGGTACAGCCCCCTGTAATATGGTTCATAACATGCAAATGGGGACAGGGTTATATTGCTTCCTATGTCGCAGGGGATGTATACCCCCCTTTGATATGGTTCATAATATCGGGGCAGGGGGAAGGTGTATAGGTCCCCTTATCGCAGAGGTTGTACAGCCCCCTGTGATATGGTTTGTAACATGCAAAGGGGGAGAGGATAATATTACTCCCAATATCATAGGGGGTGTAAACCCCCTCTGATATGGTTTGTAATATCTGAGGCAGAGAGGATAATATAACTCTCAATATCGCAGGAGGTGTAAGCAGCCCTGTGATATTGTTTGTAATATCCAGGGGAAGAGAGGATGATATTACTCCCAATGTCACAGAAAATTTTCACCACCCTGTGATATTGTTCATAATATCCAGAAAGAAAGAGGGTGATATTACTCCCTATATTGCAGCAGGTGTACACGTCTTTGTGATATTGTTTGTAATATCTAGTGAGGGAGAGGATGATATTACTCCAAATATCGAAGGGGGTTTTTACCCCCCTCTGGTGTTGTTTATAATAATCAGAAGGAAAGAGGATGATATTACTGCCAATATCGCAGAAGGTCCATACCTTCCTGTGATATTGTTAGTAGTATGCAGAAGGGAAGAAGATGATATTACTCCCAATATTGCAGGGGGTGAAAAGCCCCTTGTTATATTGTTCATAACATTTAGGGAGGAGAGGACTACATTACTCCCAATATCACAGAAGGTGTACCCCATCCTATGATATTGTTCGTAATATTCAAGGAACTGAGAAAATTATAATGCTCCCAATATCCAAGAGGTGTACACCCATCCTGTGATATTGTTACTAATATCCAGGGGGAAAGAGGATAATGTTACTGTCAAAATCAGAGAACGTGTACACCTTCCCTGTGATATTGTTTTTAATATCCAGGGAGGTAGAGGGTGATATACTCCAAATATTGCAGGACTGTACATCACCCCAAGTGAAATTGTTCCTAATATCCAAGGGGTGAGAGATAAATTACTCACAATATCGCAGGCGGTGTAAACTTTCCCTGTGATATTGTTCCTAATATCCAAGAGAAGAGAGGAAGATATTAGCCCAATATCGCAGGGGATGTACACACTCCTGTGATATTGTTTCTAATACCCAGGAGGGGAGAGGATGATATTATTCTTAATATCACAGGGTGTGTACACCCACCCTGTGATATTGTTCCTAATATCTAGGGGGGGAGAAAATAATATTACTCCCAATATCTCAGGGGGTGTACACCCCCCTGTGATATTGTTTCTAATATCTAGGGGAGGGAAAGGATGATATTATTCCCAATATCACAGGGAATGTACACCCCCTCTTTGATATTGTCCCTAATATGCAGGGGAGGAGAGGAATATATTACAACCAATATCGCAGTTGGTGTACACCACCCTGTGATATTGTTCTTAATATCCGGGGGGGGGGAGAGGATGATATTACTCTCATCATCGCAGAGAGTGTACACCCCCCTGTAATATTGTTCCCAATATGAAGGAAGGGACAGGATGATATTACTTTCAATATAGCAGGGGGTGTACACCCATCCGTGATATTGCTTCTAATATCCAGTCAGGGAGAGGGTGATATTACTCCCAGTATTGCAGGGGGTGTACACCGCTCCCATGATATTGTTTCTAATACCCAGGGGGGAGGATAATATTCTCAATAACGCAGGGGATGTAACCCCCCCCGTGATATTGTTTCTAATATCTAGCAGGGGAGAAAATGATATTACTCCCAATATCGCAGAAGATGTACACCCTCCCTGTGATATTGTTTCTAATATCCAGGGGGTAGAGGATAATATTACTTTTTTTTTTTTTTTAGACGGAGCCTTGCTCTGTGGCCCAGGCTGCAGTGCAGTGGTGCAATCTTGGCTCACTGCAACCTCTGTCTTACGGGTTCAAGCTATTCTCCTGCCTCAGACTACCGAGTAGCAGGGGCTACAGGGGCCTGCCACCAATCCCGGCTAATTTTTGTATTTTT
This sequence comes from Homo sapiens, assembly GCF_000001405.40. Classification (NCBI taxonomy): domain Eukaryota; kingdom Metazoa; phylum Chordata; class Mammalia; order Primates; family Hominidae; genus Homo; species Homo sapiens. The sequence continues at coordinate 61,031,027 of NC_000006.12, read as the reverse complement.
AGTAGAGAGGAGGTTTCACCATATTGGCCAGCCTGGTCTCAAACTCCTGACCTTGTAATCCACTCACCTCAGCCTCCCAAAGTGCTGGTATTACAGGTGTGAGCCACTGCACCTGGCCCCTTATTACTTTCAATATCTCATGGGGTGTAATCCTTCCCTGTGATATTGTTCCTAATATCCAAGGAGAGAGAAAATAATATTATGCCAAATATCACAGGGAATGTACACCCTCCCTCTGATATTGCTTTTAATATACAAAGGGGAAGAGGATATTACTTCCAATATCACATGGGGCGTACACCCCCCCGTGATATTGTTCCAAATATAAAGCGAAGGAGAGGATGATGTTATTTGCAATATCGCATTGGGTTTATATTCGCCCTGTGATATTGTTTCTAACATCCAGGCAGGGAGAGGATGATATTACACTTAATATCACAGAAAGTGTATCCACCCCTGTGATATTATTCCTAATATCCAGAGGGGAAGAGGTTGATATTGTTCCAAATATCACAGGGGGTGAACACACCCCCTGTGAAATGGTTCCTAATATACAGGGGAAAAGAGTTGGATATTACTCCAAATATCACAGGGGGTGTACACCTCCCTTATGATATTGTTCCTAATATTTAAGGGGGGAAAGAATACTATTACTCCTAGAATTGCAGGGTGTGTACACCCCCTTTGGATATTGTTCCTAATATTAAGGCAGGGAGAGGATGATATTGCTCTCAATATCGCAAAGGGTATACATCCCCCCCCCCGGTGATATTGATCCTAATATCCAGGGAGCGAGAGGATGATATTACTCAAAATATCGCAAGAGATGTACAACTCTTGTGTTATTGTTTTTAATATTCCTGGAGAAAGAGGGTGATATTATTCCCAATATCGCAGGGGGTATACATCTACCCTTGATATTGTTTTTAATATCCAGAGGGAAAGAAAATGATACTACTTCAAATATCACATGGGGTGTAAACCCCCTCTGCGATATTGTTCCTAATATCCAGAGGGAAAGAATATGAAATTACTCTCAATGTCGCAGGATGTGTACAACCCACTGTGATATTGCTCCTCATATCTAAAGAGGGAAAGGATGATATTACTCCCAATATCGCAGGGGATGTACACCACCCCTGTTATATTGTTCTTATTTTCCAAGGGGGAAGAAAATGGCATTACTCCCAATATGGCAGGGGTGTACACGCCCCTGTGATATTGTTCCTAATATAAAGGTAGAGAGAGGATGTTATTACTTCCAATATTGCAGGGGTGTACACCCACCCTGTGATACTGTTTGTAATATCCAGAGGTGAGAGGATGTTATTACTCTCAATATCGCAGAAAGTGTACACCCACCTGGAAATGTTCATAATATCCAGGGGGGTAGAAGATTATATCACTTTGAATATCGCCAAGAGTGTACATCCCTTTTGTGATTTTGTTCCTAATATCCAGGAAGGGAAAGGATGATATTACTCCATATAATACAGGGAGTGTACACCTTTTCAGTGATATTGTTCCTAATATCCAGAAAGGGAGAGGATATTACTCCCACTATTGCAGGAGACGTACACACCCCCTGTGATATTGTTCCTAATATTAAGGGGATAAAAGGATGACATTACTCCCAATATCGCAGCGGGTTTACAACTCCCCTGTGCTATTGTTCTTAATATCCAGTGGGGGAGGACAGAATATTATTCCCAATATTGCAGGGTGTATAGAGCCCCCCTGTGTTATTGTTCTTAATATCAAAAGGGGGAAAAAATGATATTACTTTCAATATCGCAGGGGGCATACACCCGCCTGTGATATGGTTTTTAATATTCAGTTGGGGACCCAATATCACAGGGTGTGCACACCCTTTTGGTGATGTTGTTTTCACTATCCAGAGAGGTAAAGGATGATATTACTCCCAAATCGCATGAGGTGTTAACCTCCCGTATGATACTGCTTCTAACATTCAACCAGGTGGAAAATGGTTTTATTCCCAATATCGCAGGGGGTGTACACATTCCCTGTGATATTGTTTATAATATTCAGGGGGTAAGAGGAGGATATTACTTTCAATATTGCAGGGGTTGTACACCACCCCGTAATATATTTCTTTTTTAAAAAAATTTATTTAATTTTATTATTGTTTTTTATTATACTTTAAGTTCTAGGGTACATGTGCACAACATGCAGGTTTGTTACATATGTATACATGTGCCGTGTTGGTGTGCTGCACCCATTAACACGTCACTTACATTGGGTATATCTCCTAATGCTTTCCTTCCCTGCTTCCCACACCCCACAACAGGCCTCAGTGTGTGATGTTCCCCTTCCTGAGTCCATGTGTTCTGATTGTTCAATTCCCACTTATGAGTGAGAACACGCGGTGTTTGGTTTTTTCTTCTTGCGATAGTTTGCTGAGAATGATGGTTTCCAGCTTCATCCATGTCCCTACAAAGGACATGAACTCATCCTTTTTTATGGCTGCATAGTGTTCCATGGTGTATATGTGCCACATTTTCTTCATCCAGTCTACTGTTGTTGGACACTTGGGTTGGTTCCAAGTCTTTGCTATTGTGAATAGTGCTGCAATAAACATACGTGTGCATGTGTCTTCATAGCAGCATGATTTATAATCCTTTGGGTATATACCCAGTAATGGGATGGCTGGGTCAAATGGTATTTCTAGTTCTAGGTCCTTAAGGAATCGCCACACTGACTTCCACAATGGTTGAACTAGTTTACAGCCCCACCAACAGTGTAAAAGTGTTCCTATTTCTCCACATCCTCTCCAGCATCTGTTGTTTCCTGACTTTTTAATGATTGCCATTCTAACTGGTGTGAGATGCTACCTCATTGTGGTTTTGATTTGCATTTATCTGATGGCCAGTGATGATGAGCAATTTTTCATGTGTTTTTTGGCTGCATAAATGTCTTCTTTTGAGAAGTGTCTGTTCATGTCCTTCACCCACTTTTTGATGGGTTTTTTTTTTCTTGTAAATTTGTTTGAGTTCATTGTAGATTCTGGATATTAGCCCTTTGTCAGATGAGTAGGTTGCAAAAATTTTCTCCCATTTTGTAGATTGCCTGCTCACTCTGATGGTAGTTTCTTTTGCTGTGCAGAAGCTCTTTAGTTTAATTAGATCTCACTTGTCAATTTTGGCTTTTGCTGCCATTGCTTTTGGTGTTTTAGACGTGAAGTCCTTGCCCATGCCTATGTCCTGAATGGTAACGACTAAGTTTTCTTCTAGGGTTTTTATGGTTTTAGGTCTAACGTTTAAGTCTTTAGTCCATCTTGAATTAATTTTTGTATAAGATATAAGGAAGGGATCCAGTTTCGGCTTTCTACATATGGCTAGCCAGTTTTCTCAGCATCACTTATTAAATAGGGAATCCTTTCCCTATTGTTTGTTTTTCTCAGGTTTGTCAAAGATCAGATAGTTGTAGATATGCGGTGTTATTTCTGAGGGCTCTGTTCTGTTCCATTGATCTATATCTCTGTTTTGGTACCAGTACCATGCTGTTTTGGTTACTGTAGCCTTGTAGTATAGTTTGAAGTCAGGTAGCCTGATGCCTCTGGCTTTGTTCTTTTGGCTTAGGATTGACTTGGAAATGTGGGCTGTTTTTTGGTTCCATATGAACTTTAAAGAAGTTTTTTCCAATTCCGTGAAGAAAGTCATTGGTAGCTTGATGGGGATGGCATTGAATCTATAAATTACCTTGGGCAGTATGGCCATTTTCATGATATTGATTCTTCCTACCCATGAGCATGGAATGTTCTTCCATTTCTTTGTATCCTCTTTTATTTCATTGAACAGTGGTTTGTAGTTCTCCTTGAAGAGGTCCTTCACATCCCTTGTAAGTTGGATTCCTAGGTATTTTATTCTCTTTGAAGCAATTGTGAATAGGAGTTCACTCATGATTTGGCTCTCTGTTTGTCTGTTCTTGTTGTATGAGAACGCTCGTGATTTTTGTACATTGATTTTGTATCCTGAGACTTTGCTGAAGTTGCTTATCAGCTTAAGGAGATTTTGGGCTGAGATGATGGGGTTTTCTAGATATACAATCATGTCATCTGCAAACAGGGATAATTTGACTTCCTCTTTTCTTAATTGAATACACTTTATTTCCTTCTCCTGCCTAATTGCCCTGGCCAGAACTTCCAACACTATGTTGAATAGGAGTGGTGAGAGAGGGCATCCCTGTCTTGTGCCAGTTTTCAAAGGGAATCCTTCAGTTTTTGTCCATTCGGGATAATATTGGCTGTGGGTTTGTCATAGATAGCTCTTATTATTTTGAGATATGTCCCATCAATACCTAATTTATTGAGATTTTTTAGCATGAAGGGTTGTTGAATTTTGTCAAAGGCCTTTTCTGCATCTATTGATATAATCATGTGGTTTTTGTCTTTGGTTCTGTTTATATGCTGGATTACATTTATTGATTTGCGTATATTGAACCAGCCTTGCATTCCAGGGATGAAGCCCACTTGATCATGGTGGATAAGCTTTTTGATGTGCTGCTGGATTTGGTTTGCCAGTATTTTATTGAGGATTTTTACATCAATGTTCATCAAGGATATTCTCTAAAATTCTCTTTTTTGGTTGTGTCTCTGCCCGGCTTTGGTATCAGGATGATGCTGACCTCATAAAATGAGTTAGGGAGGATTCCCTCTTTTTCTATTGATTGGAATAGTTCCAGAAGGAATGGTACCAGTTCCTCCTTGTATCTCTGGTAGAATTCGGCTGTGAATCCATCTGGTCCTGGACTCTTTTTGATTGGTAAGCTATTGATTATTGCCACAATTTCAGAGCCTGTTATTGATCTATTCAGAGATTCAACTTCTTCCTGATTTAGTCTTGGGAGGGTGTATGTTTTGAGGAATTTATCCATTTCTTCTAGATTTTCTAGTTTATTTGTGTAGAGCTGTTTATAATATTCTCTGATGGTAGTTTGTGTTTTTGTGGGATTGGTGGTGATATCCCCTTATCATTTTTTATTGCATCTATTTGATTCTATTGTTTCTAATATCTGGGGGAGGAGGGAGAGGATGATATTACTCCTAGTATCGCAGGCGGTGTACACCTTTTTGTAATATTGATGCTAATACCCAGGGAGAAGACGATAATATTACTCTCAATATCACAAAGGGTGTACAATCTTTCTGTGATATTGTTGCTAATATCAACAGGGCAATAGGATGATATTACTCCCAATATCACAGGGAGTGTATGTTTCTCCTTTGATATTGTTCCTAATATCCAGAAGGGGAGAGGATGACATTACTCTCAATAATGCAGAGGGCTTACTCCCCTTATCCGTGATACTGTTCCTAATATCCAAGAAGGAAGAGGATAATCTTACTCCCAATATCGAAGGGGGTGTACAAACCCACTGTGCTATTGTTTCTCATATCTAACAAAAAAGAGGACAATATTTCTCCCAATATTGCAGGATGCGTACACCCCCCCTTTCATATTTTTCCTAATATCCAATGGGGAAGAGGATGTTACTACACCCAATATCACAGAGGGGTAACCTCTCCTCTTTTGGATATTTCAAACAATATTACGGCAGGCTGTACAACCCTTGTGATATTGAAAGTAATATCATTTTCTCCTCCCTGTATATTACAAACAACATCATATGGGGGTGTACACTCCCTGGGATATTAGGAGTTATATCATCCTTTTTCTTTTTGGATATTACAAACAATATTACAGTGGCATGCATAGGGCCTTTGATATTTTCCCAGGATATTACGAACAATATCACACTGGGTTGTACACCCCCTGAGATATTGCAAAGTAATATTATCTTCTCCCACCCTGGATATTACAAACAATATCACAGAGGGGTGTGCAGCCCCTTCAATATTGGGAATGATATCATCCTCTCCCCACCTAAATATTACAAACAATATGGAGGGGTGTTCACCCTCTGTGATATTGAGTAATGTCATCCTCTCACCCCCTAAATATTATGAACAATATCAAAGGGTGGTGTACACCCTCTGCGATATTAAGAGTTATATCATCCTCTCCCCTTCTGGAAATCATGAAAAATAGTACATGGGGATGCATTCCCCCTTTGATATTGATATTGAGAGTAATATCATCCTCTCCTCTTTTTGATGTTACATATAATATCACAGGTGAGTGTACACTCCCTGCGATTTGGGTTGTCATATCATCCTCCCCACCTCTGGATATTAGGAACATTATCACAGCTAGTGTACACTCTGTGATATTGCAAGTAACATCATCCTCTCCCCTCCTTAATATTACAAATAATATCACAGGCAGGTGTACACTTCCTGCAGTACTTGAAGTAATAGCATCTTTTTCCCCTCTAGGTATTAAGAACAATGTCACAGGGGGATGTACAACTTCTGCGATATTGGGAGGAATATCATCCTCTTTTTCCTGAATATTACAAACAGTATCACAGAGGGGTGTAAAACCCCTGTGATACTGTTCAAAATATAATCCTCTCCCCCTCTGAATATTAGGAACAATATCGCAGGAGATTTTAAACCCCCTGTGATATTGGGAGTAATATCCTCTCCACTTCTGGATATTATGAACAATATCACAGGAAGGTTACACCCCCTGCGATGTTGGGAGTAATAACATCCTCTACCCCCCTGGGTATTATAAAAAATATCACATGGGGGGTACACCATCTGTGATATTAGGAGTAATATCAACCTCTTTCTCCCTGGATATTACAAACAATATAACAGGGGAGTGTACAACCCTTGCAATATTTGGAGTAATAATGTCCTCCAACTCCTGGATATTATGAACAATATCACAGGGTGGAGTACACCCTTTGCGACATTGGGAGTAATATCATCTTCTCCCCCAATATAAATTACAAACAATATCACAGGAGGGTGTACATTCTCTACAACATTGGGAGTAATATCCTCTCCTGCTTGGATATTGGGAACAAAATCCCTAGGAAGGGTGTACACCCCCTGCGATATTGAAAGTAATATCTTCCTTTCTCTCCCTGGATATTAAAAACAATATCACAGTGGGGGTGTACACTCTCTGCAATATTGGGAGTAATATCCTCCCCCCCATATTAGAAACAATATCACATTGGCTTGTACACTCCCTGCAATATTGAAAGTGGTATCATTCTCTCCCTGCCTTGATATTATGAACAATATCACAGAGAGGTGTACCTTTCTTGCAATATGGGGAGTAATATAAACCTCTCCCCCACTGGATATTATGAATTATATCACAGGGGGATGTAACCTCCCCAGTGAAGTGAGGAGTAATATCACCATCTTTTTCCCAAGATATTATGAATTATATCACAAGGGGATGTAACCTACCCCACAATATGGAGAGTAGTATCACCATCTTTTTCCCGGGATATTGCAAATCATATCCCAAGGGGATGTATGCCACCCGCAATTTAAATATACCCAGTAATGGGATGGCTGGGTCAAATGGTATTTCTAGTTCTAGATCCCTGAGGAATCACCACACTGACTGCCACAATGGTTGAACTAGTTTACAGTCCCACCAACAGTGTAAAAGTGTTCCTATTTCTCCACATCCTCTCCAGCATCTGTTGTTTCCTGACTTTTTAATGATTGCCATTCTAACTGGTGTGAGATGCTATCTCATTGTGGTTTTGATTTGCATTTCTCTGATGGTCAGTGATGATGAGCATTTTTTCATGTGTCTTTTGGCTGCATAAATCTCTTCTTTTGAGAAGTGTCTGTTCATATCCTTCACCCACTTTTTGATGGGGTTGTTTGTTTTTTTCTTGTAAATTTCTTTGAGTTCATTGTAGATTCTGGACATTAGCCCTTTGTCAGATGAGTAGGTTGTGTAAATTTTCTCCCATTTTGTAAGTTGCCTGTTCACTCTGATGGTAGTTTCTCTTGCTGTGTGGAAGCTCTGTAGTTTAATTAGATCCCATTTGTCAATTTTGTCTTTTGTTGCCATTACTTTTGGTGTTTTAGACATGAAGTCTTTGCCCATGTGTATGTCCTGAATGTTAATTCCCAGGTGTTCTTCTAGGGTTTTTATGCTTTTAGGTCTACTGTTTAAGTCTTTAATGCACCTCGAATTAATTTTTGTATGAGGTGTAAGGAAGGGATCCAGTTTCAGCTTTCTACATATGGCTACCCAGTTTTCCTAGCACCATTTATTAAATAGGGAATCCTTTCCCCATTATTGAATGCCCTTTATTTCCTTCTCCTGCCTGATTGCCCTGGCCAGAACTTCCAACACTATGTTGAATAGGAGTGATAAGAGAGGGCATCCCTGTCTTGTGCCAGTTTTCAAAGGGAATGCTTCCTGTTTTTGTCCACTCAGTATGATATTGGATGTGGGTTTGTCACGCTACCTGACTTCAAAGTATACTATTCATAAATGGTGCTGGGAAAACTGGCTAGCCATATGTAGAAAGCTGAAACTGGATCCCTTACTTACACCTTATACAAAAATTAATTCAAGATGGATTAAGGACTTAAATGTTAGACCTGAAACCGTAAAAACCCTAGAAGAAAACCTAGGCAATATCATTCAGGACATAAGCATGGGCAAGGACTTCATGTCTAAAACAACAAAAGCAATGGCAACAAAAGACAAAATTGACAAATGGGATCTAATTAAACTAAAGAGCTTCTGCAAAGCAAAAGAAACCATCATCAGAGTGAACAGGCAACCTACAGAATGGGAGAAAATTTTTGCAACCTACTCATCTGACAAAGGACTAATATCCAGAATCTACAATGAACACAAACAAATTTACAAGAAAAAAACAAACAACCCCTTCAAAAAGTGGGCAAAGGATATGAACAGACACTTCTCAAAAGAAGACATTTATGCAACCAAAAAGCACATGAAAAAATGCTCATCATCACTGGCCATTAGAGAAATGCAAATCAAAATCACAATGAGATAGCATCTCACACCAGTTAGAATGGCAATCATTAAAAAGTCAGGAAACAACAGGTGTTGGAGTGGATGTGGAGAAATAGGAACACTTTTACACTGTTGGTGGGACTGTAAACTAGTTCAACCCTTGTGGAAGGCAGTGTGGTGATTCCTCAGGGATCTAGAACTAGAAATACCATTCGACCCAGCCATCCCATTACTGGATATATACCCAAAGGTTTATAAATCATGCTGCTATAAAGACACATGCACACATATGTTTATTGCAGCACTATTCACTATAGCAAAGACTTGGAACCAACCCGAATGTCCAACAATGCCAGACTGGATTAAGTAAATGGGGCACACATACACCATGGGATATTATGCAGCCATAAAAAAGGATGAGTTCATGTCCTTTGTAGGGACATGGATGAAGCTGGAAACCATCATTCTCAGCAAACTATCGCAAGGACAAAAAAACCAAACACCACATGTTCTCACTCATAGGTGGGAATTGAACAATGAGAACACATGGACACAGGAAGGGGAACATCACACACCAGGGCCTGTTTTGGGGTGGGAGTAGGGGGGAGGGATAGCATTAGGAGATATACCTAATGCTAAATGACCAGTTAATGGGTGCAGCACACCAACATGGCACATGTATACATATCTAGGTATACATACCTGCACGTTGTGTGCACGTATCCTAAACTTAATGTATAATAATAATAATAAAATATTTAATTTGGGAGAAAATAATACTACATTCAATATTGCAGAGGGTGTACACCCCCCAGTGATATTGTTTCTAATATTTAAAAATTAAGCAACTGATATTACTCCCAATACTGCAGGGTTTGAACACCCCCTTTGTGATATTGTTTCTAATATCCAGGAAGGAAAAGAATGTTACCCATAATATCACAGGAAGTGATCTCCACTGCTGTGAGTTTGTTCTTAATATCCAAGGAGAGGATGATTTTACTCCCAATATCACAAGGTGTGTACACACCCTCTGTGATATTGTTCCTAATATCTAGAAAAAGAGAGGATGATATTACACTCAATATTGGAAGAGTTCTACACCAGCCATTTGATATTATTCCTAATATCCAGGGGGGAAAAGGACGAAAACACTCCCAATATTGCAGGGGGTGTACACACTCCCTGTGAGATTGCTTTTAATATCCAGTGGAAGAGAGGATAATGTTACTCTCAATATCAGAGGTAGTGTAAGCTACTTTGTGATATGTTCCTAATATAAAGTAGGTGACAGAATGATATTACTCCCAATATCACAGGGAGTGTACAACTCCCATTATGATATTGTTTCTAATATCCAGGGAAGGAGAGGATAATATTACTCTCAACATCTCAGGGGATGTACACCAACCCTTTGATATTGTTCCTAATATCCAAGGGGGAGTAGGATAATATTACTCCAAATATTGTAGAGGGTGTACAACCCACCTGTGATATTGTTACAAATATCCAGGAGGGGAGAGGATAATATTACTCCCAATATCGCAGAGGATATAAACCCCCCCCTTGATATTTTTCCTAATATTGAAGAGGGAGAGAATAACATTATTCTCAATATCTCAGAGGGTGTACATCCCCTCCCGTGATATTGTTTCTAATATCCAAGTGGGAGAGGATGATATTACTCCCAATAATGCAGCAGGTGTAAAACTTGCCAGGGATATTGCTCTTTATATGAGAAGGGGAGATGATAATATTACTCCCAATATCCCAGGGAGTGTACACACCCCTTTTGTAATATTGTCCCTAATATCTAGGGGGAGAGAAGATAATATTACTCCCAATATCACAGGGGGTTTACACACCTCCTGTGATATTGTTCTTAATTTCAGTGAAGGAGAGGATGATATTACTTTCAATTTCACAGGGGGTATACATCCCCTGTGATATTGTTACTAATATCCTAGGGGGAGAAGATAATATTACTTCCAATATCGCAGGGGGTGTACACGCCCCCCATGATATTGTTTCTAATACCTAGGGGAAGAGAAAATTATATTACTCTCAATGTCGCAGGGGGTGTACACTCCCTCTGTAATATTGTTTCTAATATCCAAGAGGGGAGAGGATATTACTCTTAATATCACAGGACTTGTACATCCTCCTGTGATACTGTTTTAAATATCCAGGTTGGGAGAGGATGACATTACTTCCAATATGGCATGGGTTGTATACAGCCCTGTGATATTGTTTCTAATATAAGGGGGGGGGAGAAAATGATATTACTCCCAATATAACAGGAAGTTTACACCACTCTTATTATATTATTTCTAATATGGAGAAAGAGGATTATATTACTTTCAATATTGCAGGTGTTGTTCATCTTCTCAGTGATATGTTTCCTAATATCCAGGGGGGTAGAGGATGATATTACTCTTAATATTGCAAGAGGTGTACACTCACTGTGTGATACTGTTCCTAATATACAGGGGGGAAGAGGGTAATATTACTCCAAATATCGAAGCTGTGTACACCCTCCCTTTGATATTGTTCCTAATAATTAGGTGGAGAAAAGATAATATTATTTGCAACATCCAAAGGGGTGTGCACCCCCTCCTTTGATATTACTTCCAATATCCCAGGGGATGTAGACCCTTCCTTTAATACTTTTCCTATTATCCAGGGATGAACACACCCCCGTTATATTCTTCCTAATATAAGGGCGAGGGAGGATGATATCACTCCCAATATCTAAGGGGGTCTATTACCCCCCTGCGATATTGTTCCTAATATCCAGGGGGAGATAAATGATGTCACTCCCAATATCGCAGAGGGTGTACACCCCCCTTGTAATATATTTTTAATACCCAGGGAGAAAAAGGATGGTATTACTTCCTATCGCAGGGGTTGTACACCTCACCCTGTGATATTGTTCATAATATTCAGGGGAAAAAAGATGATACTACATTCTGTATCACAGGGAGTGTACAACCAATTTTTGATATTATTTCTAATATCCAGGATGGGAGAGAATGACATTACTCCCATTATCACAGAAACTGTACACAGCCCCTGTGTTATTGCTCCTAATACCCATGGGGAGAAAAGGTGTTATTACTGCCAATATCGTGAACAGTGTACACACCCTTGTTATATTGTTTTTAATATCTGGGGGGGGCAGAATGATATTACTCCCAATGTTGCAGTTTGGGTACACACCTCCTCTGTGACATTTTTCCTAATATCCAGGTGGGGAGATGACATTACTCCCAATATCGCAGGGGGTGTACAACCTCTTGTAATATTGTTCGTAATATCCAGAGGGGAAGAGGATAATATTATTCTAAATATCTCAAAGGGTGTACACCCTTCTTGTGATATTGTTCCTAAAATCCAGGAAGGGAGATGATAATATTACTGTCAATATCACAGAAGGTGTACACCACCCTGTGATATTGTTCCAGGGGGAGAGAAAATAATGTTACTACCAATATTGCAGGGGGTGTACACTTTCCCTGTGATACTGTTTCTAATATTTGGGAGAGGAGAGGATGATATGACTCTTAATATCACAGGGCGTGTACATCCTCCTGTGATATTGTTTCTAATATCCAGGTTGGAAGATAATGATATTACTTGCAATATCACACAGGGTGTACACAACCCCTGTGATATTGTTTCTAATATACAGTATGAGAGAGGATATTACTTAAAGTATCACAGGGAGTTTACACCCCCCCCCGTGATATTGTTTCTAATATAAATGATGGAAAAGGATTATATTACTTTCAATATCGCAGAAGGTTTACACCTTCCTAGTGATATTTTTCTTAATATCCAGGGGTTGAGGAGGATATTACTCCCATTATCGCAGGGTGTGTACACCCTTTTTTGGATATTGTTCATAATATATATTGAGGGAGAGGAGAGGATGATATTACTTCCAATACCCCAGAGATTGTACACTTGCCCTTTGATACTGTTCCTAATATCCCGGGGAAGAGAAGATGATATTAATCTCAATATTGCAGGGAGTATACACTCACCCTCTGATATTGTTTTTATTTTAGTTGAAATGATATTACTCCCAATATCTCAGGAGGTGTAAATCCTTCTGTGATATTGTTCTTAATATTAAGGCAGAAAGAGGATGATATTACTCCCAATATCGCAAGGGGTGTACCCCCCCCTTGTGATATTGTTTCTAACACCCAGAGGGGGAGAAAATAATGTTACTCTCAATATCGCAGAAGCTGTACACCCACCCCGTGATATTAGTCCTAATATTCTGCGGGAAGAGTATGATATTGCTTTCAATATCGCAGAAAGTGTAGACCACCCCCTGTGATATTGTTTCTAATATGCAGGAGGGAAGAGAGTGATATTACTCTCAATATCGTAGGTTGTGTACACCCCCACTGTAATATTATTCCAAATATTCAGATGGGGAGAGGATGATATTAATCCCACTATTGCAGCAGGTGGACAACTTCTTTGTGATATTGTTCTTAATATCCAGGGGCAAAAAGGATGATATGACTCCCAATATTGCAAGGGGTGTACATCCCCCCTGTAATATTGTTCCTAATATCCAGACGGGGAGAGGATGATATTGCTCCCAATATCGCAGAAGGTTTACACACTCCCCGTGGTATTGTTCCTAATTTCCAGTGAAAGAGAGAATAATATTACTTTCAGTATCGCAGGGGGTGTACATTCCTCTGTGACATTCTTCTTAAAATTCAAGAGGGGAGAGGATAATGTTACTCCCAACTACGGAGAGGCTGTACCCCTCTCCCTGTGACATTGTTTCTAATATACAAAGGGGGAGAAAATGATATCACTCTCAATATCGTAGGGAGTGTACACTCTCCCTGTAATATTTTTCCTAATATTTAGGGGAAGAGAAGATATCACTCACAATATCGCACGGGATGTACACTACCCTGTGATATTGTTTTTAATATCCAGGTTGAGAGAGGATGATATTACCTGCAATGTCACACGGGTTGTACAAACCCCCTGTGATATTGTTCTTCATATATGGGGGGAGAAGATGATATTATTTCTAATATAGCAGGGAGTTTATGCCCCCCCAGCGTGATATGTTACTAATATGAAGGGAAGAAAAGGATATTACTTTGAATATCGCAGAAGGTGTACACCCCCCGTGATATTTTTCCCAATATTCAGAAAAGGATAGGATGATATTACTTCCAGTATCTCAGGGGGTGTATTCTCCCTCTGTGATATTGTTTTTATATACATATGAGGGGAGAAAATGATATGGCTCCCATTATCACAGGGGGTGTACACCCTCCCTGTGATATTGTTCCTAATATTTAGAAGGAGAGTGGATAATATTACTCCCAATATCCGTACCGAAACCCCCCCGCTTTGAAATTGTTCCTAACATCCAGTGGAGACGAGGATGATGTTACTCTCAATATCGGAGGGAGTGTACATCCTCCCTGTGATATTATTCCCAATATTTAGAAGGAGAGTGGATGATATTTCTCCCAATATCACAAGGGTTGTACACACCTGCTTTGAAATTGTTTCTAATATCCAGGGGAGGACAGGATTATATTACTCTCAATTTAACAAGGAGTGTTCACCCTCCCTGTGATATTGTTCCTAATGTTTAGGGTGGGATAAAATGATATTACACCCAATATCGTAGGGTGTGTACACTCTTCTCAGTGATATTGATCCTAATATCTGAGGGTGAAGAGGATGACATTACTTCCACTATCGCAGAGCGTGTACACCGCCCCCTCCCTGTGATACTGTTTCTAATATCCAGGCGGGGAAAAAATGGTTTTACTCCCAATATTGAAGGGGGTGTACATCCCCTTCTGTGATATTGTTCCTAATATCCAAATGGAAAGAGGATGATATTACTTTCAATATCAAAAGGATTGTACACACCCCTGTGGTATAACTTCTAATATCCAGGAAGAGAGAGGATGATATTACACCCAGTATAGAAGGAGGTGTTCACCTCCCCTGTGGTATTGTTCCTAATATCCAGAGAGAAAGAGGATGATATCACTCTTAATATCGCTGGGGGTATACACCTTCCATGTGATATTGTTTCTAATATAAATAAGGGGAACAAATGATATCACTCCCAATATTGCAGGGGGTGTACACCTCTTTTTGATATTGTCTCTAATACTCAGAGGGAAAGAGGATGATATTACTTCCAATGTCGCAGGGGTGTACACTCCCACTGTGATATTGTTCTTAATATCCATTAGACAAGAGGATGGTATTACTCCTAATATTGCAGAGGTGTACACTTTTTCTGTGATAATATTTTTAATATTCAGAGGGGTATAGGATAATATAGCTTTCAATATCGCAGGGGGTATACGACATCCCCTGTGATACTGTTTATAATAACCATGGGGGAAGAGGATGATATTGCTTTTAATATCGCAGGGAGTGTACACACACCCTGTAATATTGTGCCTGATATCCAGGGGGGAAGAGG
The DNA here is from genome assembly GCF_000001405.40 of Homo sapiens. Taxonomy (NCBI): domain Eukaryota; kingdom Metazoa; phylum Chordata; class Mammalia; order Primates; family Hominidae; genus Homo; species Homo sapiens. Next base: position 61,015,631 of record NC_000006.12, on the reverse strand, counting down.
ACGACATTAGTCCCATTATCACAGAAAGTGTACACACCCCTGTGATATTGTTCCTAATATTCAAGGGGAGAGAGGATGATATTACTCCCAATATCGCAAGGGGTGTAATTGTGATACACCCCTTTTGATATTGTTTCTAATATCAAGAGAGGAAAGGATTATATTACTCCCAATTTCGCAGGTAGTGTACACCACCCCTGTGATATGGCGTTAAATATCCAGGGCAGAGAAGATGACATTACTCCCAATATGGCAGGGGGTGTACACGCTCCCTGTAACATTGTTCCTAATTTCCAGGGGAAGAGAGGATGATATTACTCCCGATATCGCAAAGGGTGTAGAACCTTCTTGTGGTATTGTTCCTAATATCCAGGAGAGGACAGAATAATATTACTACAAATATCATAGTGGGTGTAAAACCCCTCTGTGATATTGTTCCCAATATCCAGAGAAAGAGATGATGATATTACTCTCAATATCACAGGGGGAGTCTATGCCCCCACTGTGACATTGTCCCTAATGTCTAGAGAAAGAGAAGATGCTATTAATATCGTAGGTGGTGTACACCTGCCCTTTGATTTTATTCCTAATATTCAGGAGAAAAGAGGATGATATTACTCCCAATATCGCAGGGGGTGTACACTCCACTTGTGACTTTTTTTATATCCAATGAGGGAGAAGATGATTATTGCTGTCAAAATCACAGGGGGGTTATACGCCCCCTGAGATATAGTTTCTAATATCAAGGGGGGAGATTATACTACTCCCCAAATCGCAGGGGGTGTACACCCCTCCTGTGAGATTGTTCCTGACATCCAGTGGAAGAAAGGATGATATTACTTCCAATATTTCATGGGTGTAAACCCCCCTGTGATATTGTTTCTAATATCCAGGGGGCGAGAAAATAATACTACTTCCAGTATCGCAGGGGGTGTACACCCCCAACTTTGTGATATTATTTCTAATACCCAGGAGTGAATAGGAAGATATTTCTCTCAATATCACAGAGGGTGTATACCCATTCTGTGATATTTTTCCTAATATGCAGGGAGGAAGAGGATGATATTACTCCCACTATTGCAGGGGGTGTACAAACCCCCTCTAATATTGTTCTTAATATGCAAGAGAGAAAAAGATGACATTACTCCCAATATCGAAGGAAGTGTTCTTAATATCCGGCAAGGGAAAAAATGATATTACTCCCAATTGTGCAGAAGGTGTACAATTTTCGTGTAATATTGTTTTTAATATCCCGGGGGGAGAGGATATTACTTTCAATATCTCAGGGGGTTTACACACCCCCAGTGATATTGTTCTTAATATTTAGTGAAGAAGAGAATTATATTACTTTCAATATCGCAGGGGGTGTACCTGTGACATATTTCCTAATATCGGGGGGGGGGAGAAAATAATATTACTCCCAATATCACAGAGGCCGTACGAACCCTGTGTGATATTGTTTCTAATATCCAGAATGGTAGTAAATAATATTACTATCAATATCACAGGAGGTATACACTCCTTCTGGGATATTGTTTCTAATAATCAGTAGGTAGGAGGGTGATGTTACTCCCAATTTTGCAGGGCGTGTTCACTATCCTGTGATATTGTTTATAACACCCATGTTGAAAGAGGATGACATTACTTAAAATATCACATGGTGTATACACCATCTTCTGTGATATTGTTCCTACTATACAGTGGGGGAGAGGTTAATATTACTCCGAATGTCACAGGGACTTTATCCCCTACCCCTGTGATAGTGTTCCTAATATGAAGGAAGGGACAGGATAATATTACTTTCAATATCTCAGGGGGTGCACACCAATTCTGAGATATTGTTCCTAATATCCAGAGAAGGAGAGGTTAATATTACTTCCAATATCCCAGGGGGTGTACACCCCCTCCTGTGATACTGTTTCTAATATCCAGGGAGAAAGAGGGTGACATTACTTTCAATATCCAAGAGGATGTACACCCCCGCTGTGATATAGTTTTTAATATCCAAAGGCTAAGAGACTAATATTACTCCCAAAACCACAGGTAGTGAACACCTCCTTTGTGATATTATTTCTAATATCCGGAAAGGGAAAGAACGATATTACTCCAAATATCGCAGGAAGTCTTCAACTCCCCTGTGATTTTGTTCCTAATATCCAGGGAAAGAGAGGATATTACTCCCAGTATCGCAGGGTATGTACACAACCCCCGTCGTGATATTGTTCTTAATATCTAGGAAAAAAGATAATGATATTACTCTCAATATTGCAAGTGGTGTACAACAGCCCTGGGATATTGTTTTTAAAATCCAAGAGGGAAGAGGATGATATTGCTCCCGATATTGCAGGGGGTGTACACACTCCCTGTGAGATTATTTCTAATATCCAGTGGAAGAGAAGATGATATTACTCCCAATACTGCAGGTGGTGTAAACTCCTTTGTGATATTGTTCCTTATATCCTGGGGAGAGAGGATGATATTACTCTCAATATTGCAGACAGTGTACCACCCCCATTGAGATACTGTTTCTAATATCCAGGGGGTGAGAGGATGATATTACTCTCAATATCGCAGGGGGTGTACACTCACCCTGTGATATTGTTTATAAAATTCAGGGGGGGAGAAAATGATATTATTAAAAATATCACAGAGTGTGTACATCCCACCTATGAAATTGTTACTAATATGTAGGAGTGGAGAGGATGGTATTACTCCCAATAACATAGGGGGTATACACACACCCCCGTGATATTGTTCCTAATATCCAGAGTGGGGAGAGGGTGACATTACTCCCAATAACGCAGCAGGTGTACAACGTTCCTGTGATATTGATTTTAATATCCGGGTGGGGAGAGGATGATATTACTCCCAATATCACAAAAGGTGTACACCCTCACTGTAATATTGTTCCTAATATCCAGGAAGGGAGAGGATGATATTACTCCCAATATCACAGGGGATTTACATTCCCCTGTGATATTGTTCTTAATTTCAGTGAAGAAGAAGATAATATTATTTCAATATGGCAGGGGGTGTACAAAACTCTGTGTTGTTGTTCCTAATATTCAGGGGAAAATAAGATATTAGTTCCAATATCGCAGAAGCTGTACAACCCCCCCGCCCGGTCATACAGTTTCTGATAACTAGGTGAAGAGAAAATAATATTACTCTCAATGTCGCACAGGGTGTACTCTTCCCCTGCGATATTGTTTCTAATATCCAAGAGAAAAGAGGATGATATTACTCCCAATATCACAGGGCATGTACACCCCCCTATGATATAGTTTTTAATATCCAAGATGAAAAAGGATATTACTTGCAATATCGCACAGGATGTACACACCTCCAGTGATACTGTTTCTAACATAAAGTGGGGAGAGGATGACATTACTCTCAATATCGCAGGGAGTTTACACCCACTCCTGTGATTTTTTTTTAATATGCAGGGAGAAAAGGGATTATATTACTTTCAATATTGCAGGGGTTGTACACATTTCCAGTGCTATTTTTTCTAATATCCGTGGGGAGAGAAAATGATATTACTCTTAATAATTCAGGGGGTGTACACTTGCTTTGTGATATTGTTCCTAATATGGGGGGAGAGAATAATATTACTCCCAATATCAAAAGAGTGTATGCCCTCCCTTTGATATTGTTTTTAATATTTAGGTGGAGAGAGAATGATATTAGTTTTAATATCCCAGAGGTTGTGCACCCCCACTTTGATATTTTTCCTAATATTTAGGGGAGGAGAGGACATCACTCTCAATATCATAAGAGGGAAAACCTCCCTGTGATATTGTTCTTATTATTTAAGTTGGGAAAAAATGATATTACACCCAATATCGAAGAGGGAGTACACCACCCCCGGTGATATTGTTTCTAATAATGAGGAGCACAGAGGATATTACTCCCACTATATTAGGGGATGTACACCCTCCCGCTTATTGCTCCTAATATCCGGGGGAACAAGGATCATATTATTTGCAATATCGTAGCAGGTATACAACTTCCCTGTGACATTATTTTTAATATCCAGGGGTGGAGAAGATAATATTACTCCCCATATCGCAGGGGGTGTACCCTCCTACGTAATATTGTTCCCTATATCCAGGGGGGAGAGTATAATATTACTACCAATATCACTTGTGGTTTACAAACCCCGTGTGACATTTTTCTTAATTTCCAGTGAAGGAGAGGATGGTATTACTTTCAATATTGCAGGGGTTGCACACCCCCCTGTGATATTGTTTCTAATATCCAGAGGGGGGAGGAAAATATTACTCCCAATATCATAAGGGCTGTACCCCTTCCCTGTGATATTGTTTCTAATATCGGGGGGAGAGAAAATGATATTAATCTCAATAGCGCAGGGGGTGTACGCTCCCCCTTTGAAATTGTTTCTAATATCCAGGAGAGGAGAGGATGATATTACTCCCAATATCGCAGGGCGTGTACACAGCCCTGTGATGTTGTTTTTAATATCCAGGTTGGGAGAGGATATTACTTGCAATATCGCAAGGGGTGTACACACCCCCTGTGATATTCTTCCTAATATACACTGAGGGAGAGAATAATATTACTTCCAATATCTCAGAGAGTTTACACCCCGCCCTGTGATATTGTTTCTAATATGAAGGGAGGAAGAGGATTATATTACTTTCAAAATTGTAGTTTTGTACACTTTCCTAGTGATATTTTTTCCTAAGATTAAAGTGGGGAGAGGATATTACTTCCAGGATTGCAGGGGTTGTACACTTCCTCTGTGATATTGTTTCTAATACACAGTGGGAGAAGAGGATGATACAAATCCCAACATCGCAGGGGTGTACATCGTCCCTGTGATACTGTTCCTGTTAATTAGGGGGAGGGGAAGATGATATTAGTCCAGGTATTGTACACCCCCTCTTTGAAATTGTTCCTAGTATCCAGGAAGGAGAGAGTGATATTACTCTCAATATCGCAGGGAGTGTACACCCCACCTGGGATATTGTTCCTAATTTCCAGGGAGGGAAAAATATATTACTCCAAATAACGCAAAGGTGTACACCTTCGCTTTGATATTGTCTTAAATATCCAGAGGGGGAGAAGATAATATTACCACTGATATGACAGGGGGTGTACACCCCCCGTAATATTGTTTATAATATCCAGGAGGAGAGTGTTATATTACTTTCAATATCGCAAAGGGTGTACAATCTTCTTGTGATATTGTTCCTAATATCCGAAGGATGAGAGAATGATGTTATTTCAAATATCACAGGAGATGTTTATTCCCCCCGCCCCCTCGTTGTTGTTCCTAATATCCAGGGAAAGAGAGAATGATATTATTCCCAATATTGCAGGCGTTGTACACGCCCCCCGCCCGCGTGATATTGTTCCTAATATCTACTGGAAGAGAGGATGATACTACTCCCAATATTTCAGGGGTGTAGACCCACCACGTGATAGTGTTCCCAAAATCCAGGAGGGAAGAGGATGATAATACCCTCAATATCACAGAAGGTGTACATCCCTTTGGTGATATTGTTCCTAATATAGATTGAGGGAAAGGATGACATTACTGTCAATATCACAGAGGGTTTACACGCTCCCTGTGATATTGTTTCTAATATCAAGGTGGGGAGAAGATTATATTACTTCCAATATCGCAGGCGGTATGCAGTGCCCCAGTGAGATTGTTTCTAATAGCCCGTCGAAGAAAGTATGATGTTGCTTCCAATATTGCAAGCGTGTAAGCCCCCTTGTGATATTGTTTCTAACAACCAGGGTGCGAGAGGATTAAATTACTCCCGATATCGCAGGGGGTATACACCCCTTCTTGTGACATTGTTTGTAATACCAGGGGTGGATTGAATGATATTTATCCCAATATTGCAAAAGGTGTACACTCTCCCGTAATATTGTTACTAACATCCAGGAGGGGAAAGGATGATATTACTCCCAAAATTGCGATATTGGGTGTAATATCATCCTGTCTCCCTATGGATATAAGAATCAATAACACAGGAGTTTGTACAACCCCTGCGATATTGGCTGTAATATCATCCTCTCACCCTCTGAATATTAGAAAAAATATCACAGAGGGGGTCTTCACCCCATGTGATATTGGGAGTAATGTCATTCTCTTTTCTTCTCAATATTAAAAACAATATCACAGGGTGGGTGCACACCCCTTGTGATGTTGGGAATAATATCTTCCTCTCTTCCCCCATGATATTAGAAAAATATTACACAAAAGGTGTACAACTCTTGCTATACTGGGAATAATATCACTGCCTTCCCCTGGGATATTAAAAACAATATCGTGGGAGGGTGTACATTGTGAGTAATATCATCCTCTCCCTCCCTGGATGTTAGGAACAATATCACGGCGTGGTGTAAACCCGTTGCGATATTGACAGTAATATCATCGTCTCCCTCACTAAATATTAGGAACAATATCAAAGGGGGTTGTACACACCCTGCAATATTGGGAGTAATATTATTCTTTCCTCCCCTAAATATTAAAAACAATATCACCCCCCTGCGACATTTGGAGTAGTATCATCCTCTTCTCCCCTGTATATTAGGAACCATACCACAAGGTGTGTGTACACTCCCTGAAATATTCCGAGTAATATTTACCTTCCCCCCACTGGGTATTAGGAACAATATCACAGAGGTGTGAACACCCCTTGTGATATTAAGATTAATATCATCCTCTCCCTCCCTGAATGTTAGAAACAATATCACAGGGAAATGTAAATCCCCTGCGATATTGGGAGTAATATTATCCTCTCCCCACATGTATATTAGGAACAATATAAGGGGGGATGTACACCCCTTGCGATATTGGAAGTAATATCATGCTCTTTCCCTTTGGATATTAAAAACAATATCAGAGGGGTTTGTACATTCCCTGTGATATTGGGAGTAATATTATCCTCTCTTTCCTTGATTATAGAAACAATATCACAGAAAAGGATTACACCTCCTGTGATATTGAAAATAATATCCTCTTCCCCCTGGATATTAGAAACAAGATCACAGGGAGGGCGTACATCTTCTGTGATATTGGGAGTAATATCAGTTGCTACCCTGCTGAATATTAGAAACAATATAACAGGGGGGTGGGGAGTTACAGCCCCTGAAATATTTGGAATAATATCATCCTTTCTCCCCATGGATATTAGGAAAAATATCAAGGGGGCGTGTACATCCAGTGCGATATTGAAAGTAATATCCTGGATATTAGGAACAATATCACAGAAGGCGTTTACATCGCCTGCAATATTGAAAGTAATATCGTTCTCTACCCCCCTGGGTATTAGAAACAATATTACAGGGGGGGTGTATATCCCCTGCAAAACTGGGAGTAATGTCATCCTCTCCCCCTCCCCTGTATATTAAAAAGAATATTACAGGGGAGATGTACATTTGATGTGATATTGGACATAATATCATCCCTCCCCCCCACCCCCGCATATTAGGAACAATATCACAGGGGTGGTTTACACATCCTGCGATATTGGGAGCAACATTATCCTCTATCCCCTGGATATTAGGAGCAATATTACAGGGCGGGTGTACATCCCCTCCGATATTGGGAGTAATATTATTTTATTCCATTCTGGATGTTACAAACAATATCACAGGGTAGATATACATCCCCTGTGATATTAAGGGTAATATCATCCTCTTTACCCCAGATATTAGAAACAATATCACCGGGGTGTGTTCATCCCCTGCTATATTTGGAGTAATATCCTCTCTTCCTTTGGATATTAGAAACAATATCACGGGAGGAGTTTCCACCGCCTGCAATATTGTGAGTAATATCCTCTCACGCTTTGGATATTAAGAACAGTTTCACGGAGGAGGGTGTACATCCCCTGCATCATTGGGAGTAATATTATCATCTCCCACCCTGGATATTAGAAACAATATCACAGGGAATGCGGATAGCCCCTGGATATTAGGAACAATATCACAGGATGAGTGGACAACCCCTGCGTTATTTGTAGTAATTTTATCTTCTCTTCCCTGTATATTAGGAACAATATCACAGGATGGGTGTACACCCCCTTCGATATTGAGAGTAGTATCATCCTCTTCTTTGCCTGGATATTACAAGCAATATCATAGGGTGGGGTAGACCTTCTGCGATATTGGGAGTAATATAATCCTCTCCCCTCTGAATATTATGAACAATATAACAAGGGGATGTACACCCCCTGCAATATTAGGAGTAATATCTTCCTCTTCCCTTCTGCATATTATGAACAATATCATAGAAAGGTGTACCTCCCCTGAGATGTTGGCAGTAATATCATCTTCTTTTCTTCTGGATGTTACAAACAATACCACAGGGGAGCGTAACCCCCTGCTATATTTGGAGTAATATCATCCTCTCTTTCTCTAGGTATTACAAACAGTATCCCAGGGGGGTTATATCTTCTGTGATATTGGGAGTAATACTATCCTCTCCCTCCTGGATATAATGAAAAATATCACAAAGAGGTGTACACTTCCTGAGATACAGGGAGTAATACCATCCTCTTTCCCTCTCGATATTATGAACAATATCACAGGGTGGTGTAAACATTCTGCGACATTGGAGTAATATCATTCTCTCCCCCTGGATATTACGAACAATATCAAATGGTGATGTACACCCACTGCGATATGGAGAATTATATTATCCTCTCCCCTCTCGGATATTATGAACCACATCAAAAGGGGGTGTACACTGCCTGCGATATTGGGAGTAATATCATCCTTTCCCCCTTTATATCACAAGGCAGGTGTGCACCCCCTGTGATATTGGGAGTAGTATTATCCTTTCCTACCCTGGATAGTAAAAACAATATCACAATGGGTGATATTGAGAGTAATAACATCCTGTTTCCCCCTTGATATTATGAACAATATCACAGAAAGTGTGTACAACCCCTGCAATATTGGGAATAATACTATTTCTCCTCCCCCTGGATATTAGAAACAATATTACAGAAAAGGTGTACACCCCCTGCGATATTGGGAGCAATATCATTATCCCCTTTTCTAGATATTAGGAACAATATCATGGGGATGTGTACATCTCCTTCAATATCAAGACTAATATCATTCTCTTTCTTCCTGGATATTAAGAACAATATCACAGGGTGGGTGTACACCTCCTTCAATATTGAGAGTAATATTATCCTCTTTTCTTCTGGATGTTAGGAACAATATCACAGGGGGGTGTACACCTTCTGTAATATTGGGAGTAATATCATCTTCTCCCCCATATTAGCAACAATGTCATCGGGAAGGTGTACACCCCCTGTGATATTGGGAGTAATATTATCTTCTCACCCCCTAAACATTACGAACAATATCACAGGGAAGGTGTACATTTCCTGTGATATTGAGAATAATATCATCCTCTCCCACCCTGGATATTAGGACCAATATCACAGATGGGGTTACCCCCTGCAATATTAAGAGTAATATCATCGGCTCCATCCTGGATATCAGAAACAATGTAACAGGAAGAATGTACACCTTGTGCCATATTGGCAGTAATATCATCCTCTCCTCCTCTGGATATTTGGAGCAATATCAGAGAGGGTGTACACACAGCGTGTTTACCATGTTGAGAGTAATATCATCATCTTCCTCCCTGGATATTACGAACAATATCACAAAGTGTTTTTCACTTTCTGCTTTATTAGGAGTAATGTCTTCCTCTCCCTTTCTGGATATTACAAACAATATAACAGGTTGGTGCACACCATTTTCGATATTGGGAGTAATATCATCCTCTTTGCACTTGATATTACAAACAATATTAAAGGGGGTGTACACACCCTGCGATATATGGAGTAATATCATCCTCCCCCCTGAATATTAAGAGCAATACCCCAGGGTGGGGGGTACACGCCCTGTGATATTAGAAGTAATATCATCCTCTCTCCCCCCGAATATTACAAAAAATATCACGGTGGGTGTACAAACAGGGTGTTTAGAATATTGGGAGTAACATCATCCTCTCCCCTACTGGATATTACGACCAATATTACAAGTGGGTGTACAACCCCTGTGATATTAGGTGTAATATCCTTTCCCCAACTCCCAGATGTTACAAACAATATAAGAGTGAGGTGTAAATTTCTTGCGATGTTGGGAGTAATATCATTTTCTTTTTCTCTGGATATTATGAACAATATCACAGGGAGGTTTACTCCCCCTGTGATATTGAAAGTAATATCATCCTCTTCCTCCCCTGGACATTATGAACCATATCACAAGGGGGTGAAAGCCCTCTGTGATATGGAGAATAATATTACCCTCTCCCTCTCTGGATATTACAAACCATATCACAGGAGGTTGTACTCCCTGGCGATATGAACAGTAATAACACACTCTCCCCCTCGGGGTATTATGAACGATATCACAAGGGGCTGTATGCCCCCCACAATATGGACAGTAATATCACCTTCTCCCGACCGGCATGTTATGTACAATATCAAAAGAGGGTGTACTCCCCTTGCGACATGGGCAGTAATTTCACCCGCTGCTCCCCCGAGATATTACAAACCATACACAAAGGAGTGTACACCCCCAGCCATATAGGGAGTAATAGTATCCTCCACCACTGGGATATTACAAATCATATCACAAAGAGGTGCACGCCTCCCGCAATATAGAGAGTAATAACACCCTCTCCACTCCGAGATATTATGAACCATATCACGGAGGGGGTGTACCTGCCCGTGATATGGGAGTAACATCATTCTCTCCCCTTTGGGATATTATGAACCATATCACAGGGTGCTGTACACCACCCGTGATATGAAGAATAATATCACTCTCTTTCTCCTGAAGTATTACAAACCATATCACCCTCTCCGCCCCAGGATATTAGGAACCACATCACAGGAAGATGTATTCCCCCAGTGATATGGGAATAATATCACCCTCTCCCCCCAAGATATTACAAACCATATCACAGGGGGGTGTACGCCCTCCGTGATATGAGAAGTAATATCACCCTCTCTTCCCCGAGATATTATGAACGATATCACAGGGGGTGTACCTCCCCCCCCACCCCACGCCATTTGGGAAGTAATATCACGCTCTCCCCCATGGAATATTACAAACCATATCACAGGGGTTTTATGCCCTCCACGATATGGGGAGTAATATTACCCTCTCTTCCCCAAGATATTACAAACTATGTCACAGGGGGGTGTATACCCGGCACAAAATGGAAAGTAATATCACCCTTTCCCCCAAAAAATATTGCGAACTATGTCACAGGAAAGTGTATGCTCTTCGCGATATGGGGAGTAATATCACCTTCTCCTTTGCTGGAAATTACGAACCATGTCACAGGGGGTGTATGCCCCACGATAGCTAGAGTAATATCACCCTCTCCCCTGTGGGATATTACAAACCATATCACTAGGTGGTGTACACCATGGGCGATATGGGGACTAATATCACCCTCTCCCTTCAAGATATTACGAACCACATCACAGGGGTGTGTATGCCCCCACAATAAGGAAAGTAATAGTCCCTTCTCCCCACTGTGATATTATGAACCGTATCACAGAGGGGTGTACGTCCCCCCACCCTCCCCCAATATTGGCAGCAATATCGGCTTCTCCTTCCCAAGATATTATGAACCATATCACGGGGTGGGGGAAGGTAAAAGCCTTCAGCGATATGGGGAGTAATATCAACCTCTCTCCCCTGGAATATTACAAACCATATCACAGGGGGGTGTATGCCCCTAGTGATATGGAAAACAATGTCACCCTCTCCCACCCGGGATATTACTAACCACGTCACAGGGGGGCATAAACCCCTGCAACATGGGGAGTAATATCACCCTTTTGCCCTCTATTACAAACCATATCACAGGTGGGTGTATGCCCCCTGTGATATGGGGAGTAATATCACCCTATTCCCCCCCGGGATATAATGAAACATATCACAAAGAGTTGTACAACCCCCGTGATACGGGGAGTAATAGGAGTAATATCACCCTCTGCCCCCAAGACATTAGGAGGCACATCACACCCTCCACGATATGGGGAGTAATACTGCCCTCTTTTTTCCTGGATATTACAAACCATATCACAGGGGAGTGTACACCACTCCCCATTCAATATGGGAAGCAATATCACCCTCTCCCTTCCTGGATATTATGAATCATATAAAAGCGGAGTGTACATCCCCCACAGTATGGGGAGTAATATCACCCTCTCCGCCCCTTCAGATATTACGGACCATATCATGAGGGGTGCACACCTCCCATGATATGAGGAGTAATATCACCTTCTATTTCCTGGGATATGAACCATATCACAGAGGAGTGTATACATCCCGCTCTATGGGGAGTAGTATAATCCTCTCCCCTTTGGAATATTATGAATCTTATCAAAAGGGGGTGTAGGGGGTTGTACACCCACTGTGATATGAAAAGTATTATCACCCTCTTTCCCTCTGCATATTATGAACCATATCACAGGGGTGTGTATGATCCCCGCTATATGGAGAGTAATATCACCCTATGCCCCCCAGAATATTATGAACCATATCACATGGAAGTGTACGTCCGCCACGATATGGTGAGTAATATCACCCACGCGCCCCTGGAATATTCCTAACCATGTCACACGGGGGTGTACACCCCCCGCAATATGGAAAGTAATATCACACTTTTCCCCCGAAATATTACGAACCAGGTCACATGGGGTGTACACTCCTTGCAATATGGGGAGTAATATTACCCTCTGCTTTCCTGGAAATTACGAACCATGTCACAGTGGGGTGTAAGATTCCAGGATGTCGAAAGTAATATCACCCTTTCTTTCCCGAGATATTACATACCATATCACGGGGGTGTACACCTCCCGCGGTATAAGGAGTAATATAACCCTCTCCCCACTGGGATGTTACGAACCATATCACAGAGGTGTGTACGCCTCTGCGATTAGGAGAGTAATATTCCCCCCACCCCACAAGATATTATGAACCATATAACAAGGGGGTGTATGCCCCCACGATATGGAAAGTAATATCAACTTCTTTCTCCCAAGATATTACTTGGGAGGTATACGCCCAAGTATGTATGCTTGTATGTATACTGTGTATGTATACACAGGGGGGTATACGCCTCTGTGATGTGGGGAGTAATATCATCCTCTCTCCCCTGGAATATTAAGAATCATATACAGGGGGGTGTCCACCCCTCATGCTATGGAGAGCAATATTACCCTCTCCCACCCAGAATATTACAAACCATATCACAAGCGGGTGTACGTCCCTGCAATATGGAGAGTAATATCACCTTCTCCCCACTGGGATATTACAAACCATATCACAGGAGGGTATTTGCCCCTTGCGATATGGGAAGTAATATCACCCTCTCCTCCCTGGGATATTACGAATCATATCACAGAGTGGTGTATGCCCCCTGCTATATGGAGAGTAACAGCAGCCTCTCAAACTTGGGAGATTACGAACCTTATCACACTTTCACGCTTTCTGTGATACACGGAGTAATATTACCCTCTCCCCCTCCCCTGGATATTACAAACCATATCACAGGGGGGTGTATGCACTCCAGAATACGGAGAGTAATATCACCCTCTCCACTCCCCCCCCACCCCGCATATTACGAACCATATCACAGGGTTGTGTAGGGTTCCCACGACATGAGAAGTAATATCTCCCTCTCCCCTTCTGGATATTACAAACCATATCACAGGGATGTACACCCCCCGTGATGTGGGGTGTAATATCACCCACTTCTCCCTTCCTGGATATTCTGAACCATATCACAGGGAAGTGTACACCCTCCAGGATATTGAAAGTAACATCACCCTCCTCTCCCACCCTGGGTATTATCAACCGTATCACAGATGTGTGTACACACCCGGGGTTTGGGAAGTAATATCACCCTCCTTTCCCTACCTGGGTATAATGAACCATATCACAGAAGGGTGTCCATCCCCCGTGATATGGGGAGTAACATCACCCTTCTTTTTCCCCATAGATATTACGAATTATATCACAGGGGGTCATATATCCCTCAAGATATAATGAGTAACATCACGTTTCTCTCCCCTCCTGGATATTACAAGTCATATCACAGGCGGTTGCACATTGTCTGCGATATTAGGAGTAATATCACCCTCCTCACCCACTCTGGATATTATAAACCAGATCACAGGAGGTGTACACACCCCATGATATAAGGAGCAATATCACCCTCCCCTCCCCCCACCCCCAAATATTAGAAACAATATCAGCGGGGATGTACACCTTCTGCGATATTAAGAATAATATCATCCTCTCCCCCCTTGAATATTTGGAACAATATCACAGGGGAGGTGTACACCCCCTGTGATAATGGGAGTAACATCATCCTCTTTCTCCCTGAATATTAGAAACAATATCACGGTGTTGGGGGTAGGGGGCGTTTACACCTGTAATCCCAGCACTTTGGGACGCTGAGGTGGGTGGATTGCTTGAGGTTAAAAGTTCAAAACCAGCCTGACCAACATCGTGAAACCCCGTCTCTACTAAAAATAACAAAATTAACCGGGCATGACAGCAGGCGCCTATAATCCCAGTTAGTCTGGAGGCTGAGGAAGGAGAGTTGCTCAAACCTGGGAGGTGGAGGTTGCAGTGAGCAGAGATCCGTGCCATTGCACTCCAGCCTGGGCGACAGGGCGAGACTCTGTCTAAAAAACAAAAAATCGCAGGGGGTGTACACACCCTTCCATATTGGGAGTAATATCATGCTATTTCCTTCTGAATATTAGGAACAATATCACAGGGGGCGTATACACCCCCTGTGATATTGGTAGTAACATCATAGTCTTCCCCCCTGGATACTAGGAACAATATCACAAAAGGAGTGTACACGCTTTGCGATATTGGGAGTAATATCATACTCATTTTCATTGGATATTAAGAACAATATCACAGAGGGGGTGTCCACCCCCTGCAATATTGGGAGTAATATTATTCTCTTTCCCCTTTAAATATTAAAAACAATATCACAGGAGGGTTTTACACCCTGTGACATTGTTCTTCTTCCCTTGATATTAGGAAGAATATAACAGGAGGGGTGTACACCCCCGACGATATTGGGAGTCATGTAATTTTCTCCCTCCATGGATATTTGGAACAATACCACAGGAGTAGTGTACACCCCCTGTGATATTGTGATTAATATCAACCTTTCCTTTTTGGATATTAAGAACAATATTGCAGGGGTGGTGTACATTTCCTGCGATATTGGGAGTAATATCATCCTGTCCTTCTTTGGATATTTTGAACAATATCACGGGTAGGGGTACACCCCCTGCGATATTGGGAGTAATATCATTTTCTCCTCCCTGGATATTATGAACAACCACACACGGGGTGTACACTCTGGGATATTGGGAGTAATATCATCCTTTTTCTTTCTGGACATTACAAACAATATCACTGGGAGGGGGTGTACAGCCCCTTCGATATTTGGAGTAATATTGTCCTCTTTTTCCCTGGATATTATGAACAGTATCACAGTGGGATGCACACCCCATGTGATATTGCCAATAATATCGTCTTCTCCCACCCTGGCTATTACAAACAATATCACCGGGGGTTGTACAGCCCCTGTGATATTGGGAGTGATAACATCCTCTTTCCCACTAAATATTACAAACAATATCACAGAGGGGTGTACACCCTCTGCGATATTAAGAGAAACATCCTCTACTCCCCTGGATATTATAAAAAACATCACAGTGGGGGGTGTATACCCCCTGTTATTGGGTGTCATATCCTTTCCCCTCCCCTGAATATTAGGAACAATATCACTGGGGGGTGCACACCGCCTGCGATATTTGGAGTAATATCATCCTCTCCCCTATAAATATTAGGAACAATATCACAGCAGGGGTGGGCACACCCTACGATATTGGGAGTAATATCATCCTGTCTCTCCCTGGATATTATTAACTATATTACAGTGGGAGTGTACACCCCCTGAGATTTTTGGAGTAATATTATCCTCCAATTCCCTGAATATCATGAAGCATATCATAGGAGGGGGTGTACACCTTCTGTGATATTGGGAGTAATATAATCTTCTTTCCCTCTGGATATTAGAAAAAATATTCCATGAGGGTGTTTATCATAGAGGGGTGTACACACAAGTTGTTTACGATATTGGGAGTAATATCATCTTCTCTCTTCCTGGATATAACGACCACTATCACAGAGGGGTGTAAACCCCCTGTGATATTGGCAGTAATAGCATCTTCTTTCCCCCTGGGTATTACAAACAATATCACAGGGGGATGTACACCCCCTGCAATACTCGGAGTAATATTATCCTCTCTGCTTCTAGATATTTTGAATTCTATCACAAAGGTTTGTACACCCCTACGATATTGAGAGTAATATTATCCTCTCCTCTTCAAGATATTATGAACAATATCACAGGAGGGTGTACACCGTCTATGATATTGGTAGAAATATCATCCTCTCTCCCCCCTGAATATTACAAACAATATCACAGGGGGGTGTACCCACCCTACGATATTTAGAATAATATAATCCTCTCACCACCTGAATATTACGAACAATATCACAGGAGATTTTACATCCCCTGCCATGTTGGGAATAATATCATCCTTTCCTCCTTGTATGTTAGGAACAATATTCCAGGGTGTATGTACACCCTTTGCGATATTGGGAGTAATATCCTTTTACCCCTTGGATATTAGGAACAATATCACAGGGGGTGTAAATCCCCTGTGATATTGGGAAAAATATCCTCTACCCGCCCCACTCTGGCTAGATTTTAGGAACAATATCACAGGAGGGTGTACATGCCCTGCCATATTGGAAGTACTATCATCCTCTCCCCCTTTGGATATTACAAACAGTATCACAGTGGGGTGGACACCCTCTGCGATATTGGGTATAATGTCATTGTTTCTTCCCAGGATATTACAAACAAGATTACAGGAAGGTGTACACACATGGTGTTTATGACATTGGGAGTAATATCATCCTCCCTCCCCTTAATATTACCAACAATATCACAGGGGAGTGTATAACCCCTGTGATATTGGGATTAATATCCTCTCCCCAGCTGGATATTATGAATAATATTACAGAGGGGTGTGTACCAACTGTGATACTCGGAGTAGTAACATTCTCTTCCCTTCTTGATATTGCAAACTATATCACAGAAGGTGTACACCCCCTGTGATATTGTGAGTAATATCATCCTCTCCTCCTCTGTATATTGCAAACAATATCACAGGGTGGTGTTGACCCCCTGTAATATTATCCTCTCCTTCCCTAAATATTATGAACAGTATCATAGGAGGGTGTACACTCCCTGTGATATTGCAAGTAATATCATCCTCTCGACCCTGAATAATATGAACAATATCACAAAAAAAGTATACACTCCTTGCGACATTGGGAGTAATATCATCCTCTCCCTTCAAAGATATTGGGAACAATATCACAGGGGTGGTGTACACCCCCTGCGATATTAGGAGTTATGTCATCCTCTCTTCCCCAAAAATATTAGGAACAATATTACAGGAATGTTGTACACCTGCTGCGATATTAAGAGTAATATCATCCTCTATTCCACTGGATATTAGGAACAATATGACGTGAAGGTGGACACCCCCTGTGATATTTGGAGTAATATCATCCTCCCTCCCCTGGATATTATAAGCAATATCAGTGGGGGGTTGTACACCCCCTGCATATTGGGAGTAATATCATTCTCTCCTTTTCTGGGTATTAGGAAACATATCATTGGGGAGGTGTACACTTGCTGCAATATTGGGAGTTAGGATATTGCGATATTAGGAACAATATCACAGCAGGGGTGTACATCCCTTTCAATATTGGGAGCAATATTATCCTCAGCCCCCTTTATATTAGGAACAATATCACAGTGGGGGTGTGCACCCACAGCCATATTGGGAGTAATATCATCCCCTCCCCCAGTGGATATTAGGAACAATAACACAGGGGAGGTTTATACCCCCTGCGATACTGAAACTAATATCCTCATCTTTCTTTTTAGATATTAGGAACAATATCCCAGGGGTGGTGTTCACCCCTGGGATATTGGAAGTAATACAATCCTTTCCCCCTGGATATTAAGAACAATATCATGAGGGAGTGTACACCCCATGCAATATTAAGAGCAATATCATTTTCTCTTCCCCTGGATATTATGAAAACATCACAGAGTGGGTGTACACCTTCTGGATAATGGAGGATAATATGTTCTTTCCTCATGGATATTAGGAAAAATATAACAGAGTGGATGTACACTTCCTGCGATATTGGGAGTAATATCATCCTTTTCTCTAAATATTATGAACAATATTACAGCGGGGGTGTACACCTGCGATACTGAATGTAATATCATCCTCTCCCTCCCTGAAAATTAGGAACAGTATCAGAGGAAGTGTGTACAACCTCTGCAATATGGGGAGTAATATCATCCTCTTTTCCTCTGGATGTTAGGAACAATATCACAGGAAGGGTGTACACCACCTGAAATATTGGGAGTAATATCCTCACCCTCCACTAAATGTTAGGACCAATATCATGGGGGGGTGTACACCCCCGCTATAATAGGAGTAATATCATGCTCTTTCCCCTTGGATATTAGGAACTATGTTACAGGAAAGGTGTACAACCCCTGCGACATTGAAGGTAATATCAACCTCTTTCCCTCTGAATATTATGAACAATATCACAGGGGTGTGTACACCCCCTGCAATATTGGGAGTAAGATTATTTTCTCCCAGCCTGGATATTAGGAACAACATCACAGGAGTGGTGTACACCTCCTGCGATATTGGGAGTAATATCATCCTCCCCACCGCCACATATTAAAAACAGTATCACTGGGGAAGTGTACACCCACAGCGATATTGAAACTAATATCATTTTCTCCCAAACTGAATACTAAGAACAATATTACAGGAGATGTGCACCCCCTGCCAAATTGAGAGTAATATCCTCCTCTCCCCTCCTGGATATTAGGAACCATATCACAGAAAAGGTGTACACTCCCTGAGATATTAGGAGTAACATCATCCTCTCTCCCTCTGGATATTAGGAACAATATCACAGGGGGTGGTGTACACCCCCTGGAATAGTAACAATAATATCATCGTATTTTTCCCTGGATATTAAGAAGAATATCACAAGGGAGGTTTACACTCTCTGCGATCTTGGAAGTAATATCATCTTCTCCCTTCCTGGATATTACAAACAATATCACAGGGAGCGTGTACACCCATTGCGATATTAGGAGTAGTATCATCCTCTCCACCCCTGGATATTAGGAACTATATCTCATGGAGGGTGTACTCGTTCTGCAATATTGGACATAATAAGATCCTCTCCCTCCCTTGATATTAGGAACAATATCAAAGGGCGGGTGTACACACCCTGCAATATCGAGAGTAATATCTTCCTCTCCACCCTGGATATTGGAAACAATATCATATGGGGGGGTTTTATACCCTCTGTGATATGGATAGTAATATGATTCCCACCCCCCTTGATATTAGGAACAATATCAAAGGGCGAGTGTACACCCCCTTCTATGTTGAGAGTAATATCATCCTCTTCCTTCCTGGATATTAGGAACAACATTACAAAAAGGTGTACACCCCCTGCAATATTACGAGTAATATCATCTTATTTCCCCCGGATATTAGGAACAATATCACAAAGGGGATGTACCCTTTCTGCGATATTGAAAGTAATATAATCATCTCCCCTCCTGTATATTAGGTACAATATCACATGGGTGGTGTACAAGCCCTGCTATAATAGGAGGAATATCATGCTCTTTCCCCCTGGATATTAAGAACAATATCACAGGGGAGGTGTACACCCCCTGTGATATTGGGAGTAATATTATCCTCTCTCCCCCTTGATATTAGGAACAATATTACAGGGGGTGTGTACCCACCCTGAGATATTGGGAGTAATGTCATCCTCTCCCCTTCTGGATATTAGGAACAATGTAACGGGGGTGTACACACCCTGCGTTATTAGGAGTGATATCATCCTCTCCCCCTCTGGATATTAGGAACAATATCACAAGGGCGTGTACATCCCCTGCTATAATGTGGTAATATAATCCACTCCCTTCCTGGATATTAGAAACTATATCACAGATAAGGTGTACACCTCCTGCAATATTGAAAGTAACATCATCCTCTTACCCCCTGAATATTAGGAACAATATCACAGGGAAGGTGTACACCTTCTGCGATATTGGGAGTAATACCATTTTCCCCCTACTTGGATGTTAGAAACAACATCACGGGGGAGTGTACACCTCCTGCGATACTGGGAGTAATATCATCTTCTACCCTCTGTATATTAAAAACAGTATCAACAAAAGGGTGTAAACCTCCTGAGATATTGGGACTAATATCTTTCCTCCAAACCTATACATTAAGAACAATATCACAGAGGGTGTGCACCCCCTGCGATATTGGGGGTAATAACATCCTTCTCCCTCTTGAATATCAGGAACGATATTACAGGGGGGTGTACATCCCCTGTGATATTGGGATTAATATCGTCCTCTCCCCTCCTGGATATTGGGAAAAACATCACGGTGGGGGGGCGTATACACCCGGCAATATTGGAAGTAATATTATTTTCCCCCTCACTGGATATTAGGAAGATTGTCACAGAAGGGGTGTAAACCATCTGCGATATTAGGAGTAATATCATCCTCTCCCCCCGCCCCGTATATTAAGAACAATATCACAGGAAATGAGTGTACACTTGCAATATTGGGCATTATTAGCATTCTTTCTTTTCCTGGATATTAGAAACAGTATCACAGGAGGGAGTGTACACCCCCTGCAATATTGGGAGTAATATTATCCTCTCCCATTCTGGATATTAGGAACCATATCTCTGGAAAGTTGTGCGCTCCCTGCGATATTTGGAGTAATATCATCCTCTCCCTTCCTGGATATTAGGAACAATATCACAAGGGGTATGTACACTCTCAGGGACATTGAAAGTAATATCCTCTCCCCCACTGGATATTATGTGCAATATTAAAGGGTGGGTGTACACTCCCTGAGATATTGAGAGTAATATCATCTTCTCCTCCCTTGGATATTACAAACAATATCACATGGGGGGGTGTACACCCCCTGTGATATTCAGAGTAATATTATCCTGTCTCCCCCTGGATATAAGAAACAATATCACAGGGGTTTGTACACTTCTCAGATATTGGACTTAATATCATCCTTTCCCACTCTGAATATTAGGAACAGTATCATACAGGGTGAGTTCACCTCATGCGATATTGGGAGTAATGTCATTGTCTTTTCCCCTGGGCATTAAAAACAGTATCACAGGGTGGATGTACACCCCCTGTGATATTGGGAGTAATATTATCCTCTCTTGCCTCTTGATACTAGGAAAAATATCACACAAAATGTTTACAACTCCTGCAATATTGGGAGTAATATCATCCTCCTTGGAGAGTAATAACAGGAAAGCTAAAGTCTCTCTGTTTTTAAAAAATGAGTTCTCATTAGCAAATGACTCAAATATGTCAGAAAAATCTAAAGGAATTCATCAGATTTGGCTATTAAAAGTCAATGATTGAGAAAAGGATTGTGATGAAGAGGGAATGGAAGATAAACAGGCAACAGTGAAAGTAAGCTATGATCTCAAAACTTGATTAGTCAGAAAAGGGGAGAAATATGTAGATGGCTACTCAAAGTATATTCTTTTAAAAAAATTAGAGAATCTCAGATTTTAAAAGATTTTAGAAAATAAAAAAAAATTAACTGATCTGCTTATTTTTCATTTCCTAACTATGGATAGTATCCCTAGGCTTCCTGTCTTATGACAATGAGATCTGCACCTCTGCCTGTCCCTGCACTTTTTCCCAACTTTCTACCTCCCCACTTCTGTCACCTGTACTTTTACTTTACCAAGGATGATAATATATACAATCTGTTCTGTAACTACGTTATTTTAACTTTATTGAAAAACAATAGTGTTGGTATTATTGCAGCTTTAAAATTATAGGCTCTGCTGTGAACAATTATTCAAAATAATAAAACTGCAAACACTAAATATATTTGTGTTTTTCCTGTAGGATCTAATGCCTTTTTAAAGTAACTGTCTTTCTTTCCCCACACCCTTACATATCCCTATTTTCTTTGGAAACATCCCTTTATATCAACTCTTTTAGAAACTCCCTTCCTTCCTTCCCCACATAGAATTCCTTACTAGCATCCTTAGTCTCTAGGCTGCTCTCTAGGAAGAGACACCCTATGCTCTTCCTAGAACTTCAGGTTCCTGCTTGTCTGAATTCTATCACCTTTTTTTTGAATGTCGTTTCTTCTTCTTTCTTGCTTATTTATTGAAATATAACTTCAATTCACTTCCTAAGTAAAGTTTATGGATCCCTCCATATAGGTAACGTTTTATTTGGCCATCATATTTTATTAATTCTTGGGTACATATTTTTAATGGCTTTTTTCCTCTATAATTTTAAAAGCATTTTTACTGAGAAGTTAAATATACAAATGAACAATAACCAGACCACATATAAAAATACAGCTTTGACTCACAATCTGCAACAAGAAATTTAGGGAACAAATTCCTTATCTACAGTAACCAGACCAGGAAGCCAGGCTGCTATCTGACATTTAGACTTGTAGAAAGTCAAACCACTATCTCTAGCAAACAATCTAAGAAGACTAAATGGTTATTATTTGGTTTTGGATTGTTTGCTTGTTCCTGAAAAAAAAAATGGATCCCAAATGGTCAGTTGATTAATAACTGCAGGTTCCCTAATTTTTGTCCCTGCTTCCAACTTAGTACAAGCCAAAGAAAGCCAGATACAGTATACACTGCTTGTCAATCACATATGATGCCCTACTTCTAGTTAGCCTACCTACAGCTTCCTTACACCAACACCTTCCAATCAGCATACATGAAGCCTTCCCTTTTTTCCACTATAACACTTTCCCACATCTCTGCCTCCCTTTTCATTTTCTGCCAAAACCAAGTAATGGTGGCTAACTCCATTGCTATAGAAAGCCCTGAATAGACTGCCTTTGCTTTCTCATCTGGGTGGTCTTTATTTATTGACACATTATACATGGACTTCTAGAATTAATGCTATTTATAAGACTGATAACAGTGTGACTTTTTCTAATATCAGTCTTATTGGCATATGATTCATACACCACACAATTCACCCACTTAAAGTATACAATTCAATAATTTTTAGTATATTCACAGACCTGTGCAACCATTCCTACAAGGATTTTTTTGTCTCCAAAAAAGAAACCCAGATGGTGCCTGGGAAAGTGTGAATGAAGGGACTGGAGGACTGCTCACTCTTGCCACAGACCTCTGGGATCCTAGCTGCAGGAGATCCCACATCCCCTAGGACAAGAGAACTGGCAGGGGGATCTCCGCAGAGATTAGACAGAAATGGAGATGCAGCAAAAGCATGGAACCAGGGACATCTGAGTGCAGGTCAGCTTCAGTGGAACCTGGCCATAAGTGCCCACCCTGCAGGGCTACCTGTCTCCTTCTGAGAGGCTTTGGCTCCAGCTAACTGCCAGGGAGAAAACAGGATCTGCTTCTCCACAGGACAAGGGAACATCTACCTAAAAGCCCCCGGCATGCCAGCCCATCCTAGAGGCCCAATTTGGCCACCCCATAGGAGGGTGTACACAGTGCAGCCTCTGCTGCCCAGTCTGGAAGCTTTCTTACTCCTGAGTGTGTTCCAGCAGCCTGGGAGACCTTTGGATCCTCCAGTGTACCTAGAAGAGGGTCCAGAGGAGGGAGCCATGACCAGGTTCTGACATACCAGGGCCACAGTTTGTGGCTTAGGAGTGCTGAGCCATGATCTGTGCTCAGCATCTGAATGAGAGATGAGCCAGCATTCTCAAGAAACTGAGAGAGGTGAGTCACACAGGTTCTCAGGCTGGTGTGGGACCTAGGTTTGCCTCCCTCCACAGGGTTGGTCTGGTAAGGGTGTGGTCTATCTCCCTGCTAGATCTCTCCTCAGGGAAGCCCCACAGCCCAAAAGACCTAACAACAACTACCAAAGCCACATGCTCAGTGTCAATGACTGGAGGTGGCTCCTCTAAGGTCCAGGAGTACAGACCCAGTGAGGGATTCAGCACTATCCTCCTCACACCACAGAACACACCTGCAAATGCAAAGTCACACAAAGAAGCCATGTAGCTGTGTAAGAGCCTATCCAAGACCCATTGCTCTCAAGTCCCATGTACTGGATTGCAGCCCAAACTGAAATTTGAAACATTTTACTAATTCTCCCCACTGCAAAGCCAAGGACAAGAATTCAACAATAAACAAAGACCAACTATAGAGTCTTAGCCCTCTGAAAACTTCCAGAAAGAAAGTCAATTGACTATACTCAATTTACTCCAGAGTTAAAAGAATAACAGATGGGAAAGAATTAGCACAAAAACTGGCAATTCAGAAAACCAGAGTGTCCCCTTACCTCCAAAGAAACCCAATAGCTCCCCAGCAATGGTGCTTAACAAGTCTGAATTGTCTGAAGTGACAGACTTGGAGTTCCTAACCTGGGTGGCAAGGAAGACTATTGAGATCCAGGAGAAACCTGAAGCTTAATCCAAGGAAGCAAACCAATTCAGTAAAATGACTGAAGACCTGAAAGACAAAAAAGCCATTTTAAGAAAGACCCAAAATGAACTTCTTGAGCTGAAAAAAATCACTGCAACAATTTTATAATACAATTGGAAGTATTAACAGCAGAACAGACCAAGCTGAGGAAAGAATCCCAGAGCTGGAAGACTGCTCCTTCAAATCAATTCAGTCAGACAAAAATAAAGAAAAAGGAATTAAGAAAAATGAACAAAAGCTCCAAAAATATGGGATTATGTAAAGAGGCCAAATCTACAACTCACTGGCATTCCTGAGAGAAAAAGAAAGACAATAAGCAACTTGGAATTGGAATAGAAAATAAGCAATTTGAGAATATAGTCCCTGAAAATCTCCCTAGAGAGGTTGACATGCAAATCCAAGAAAAACAGAGAACCCCAGCAAGATACTATATAAAACAACCATCCCCAAGGCATATAATCTTCAGATTCATCAAGGTCAGTGCGAAAGAAAAAAAACCTTAAAGGCAGCTGGAAAGAAGAGGCAGGTAAGTTTCACAGGGAACCCCATCAGACTGGCAACAGATGGCTCGGTAGAAGCCTTACAAGTCAGAAGAGATTGGGGGCCTACTTTTAGCATTCTTAAAAAGAAATTCCAACCAAGAATTTCATATCCTGCCAAACTGAGCTTTTTAAGTGAAGGAGAAATGAAATCCTTCTCAGACGAGCAAATGCTGTGGGAATACATTTTAACTAGACCAGCTTTACAAGAGGTCCTTAAGGTAATGCTAAACATGGGTTCAAAGAATGACACCTGCTACCAAAAAAACACACTAAAGCACATAGGTTACAGGCACTATAAAGCAACTACACAATCAAGCCTGCATACACAACCAGGTAACAACACAATGACAGGATCAAAATCACACATATCAATGCTAACCTTAAATGTAAGTGTGCTAAATGCCCCCAATTAAAAGAAAGAAGGTGGCAGTCTGGATAAAAAGAAAAGACCCAACCATATGTTGTCTTCAAGAGATCCACCTTACATGTAACACCAACAAGCTCAAAGTAAAAGGGTGGAGTAAGATATACCATACAAATGGAAAACCAAAAAGAGCAGGAGTCACTATTCTTATCTCAGATAAAACAAACTTTAAATCAATGAAAACAAACAAGGACAAATGAAGGGCATTACATAATGATAACGGGTATAATCCAACAAGAAGCCTTAACTATCTTAGATATATACACAGCCAATATTGGAGGACTAACATTCATAAAACAAATTATTCTTGAACTACAGAAGACTTAGACAACCACACAATAATAATGGGTGAGTTCAACACCCCACTGACAGTGATAGACAGATCATCAAGGCAGAGAACAAAAAAATACTCTGAACTTAAACTTAACATTTGGATCTAATAGACATATACAGAAAACTCCACCCAACAACCACAGAGTATAAACTCTTCTCATCTGCACACAGAACATATTCTAAAATAGACCACATGCTAAGTCATAAAGCAAGCCTCAATAAATTGAAATCATACCAAGCACACTCTTTGACCACAATGCAATACAAATAGAAATCAATACCAAGAAGATCTTTCAAAACTATACAAACACATAAAAATCAAACAACTCAATACTGAATAATTCCTGGGTGAAAATTGAAATTAAGATAGAAATCAAAAAATTCTTTGAAATTAATGAAAATAAGGAAACAATTTACAAAAAGCTCTGCATGCAGTCCAAAGCAGTGTTAAGAGGAAAGTTTATAGCACTAAATTCCTTCATCAAGAAGTCAGAAAGATCATAAATTAGCAATCTAAATTTGTACTTAAAAGAACAAGAAGTCAGAAAGACCATAAATTAGCAATCTAAATTTGTACTTAAAAGAACTAGAAGTGAAAGAGCAAACCAACCCCCAAAAGTAGCAGAAGAAAATGTTAAAAAAAAACTACAATTAAATAACTTTATGAAATTGAGATGCAAAATTTATACAAAAGATTAATTAAACCAGAATAAAAACAAATAAAATTGATGGACTGCTAGCTAAATTAATAAAGAAGAAGAAAGAGAAGACTCCAAGAAGCAAAATCAGAAACAACAAAGGCAATGTTACCACTGATACCACAGAAATACAAAAGACCCTCAGAGGATACTATGTACAACTCTATGCACAGAAATTAGAAAATCTAGAGGAAATGGATAAATTCCTGGAAGCATACAATCTTCCAAGATTGAATCAAGAAGAGATTGAAACCCTGAATAGACAAATATCAACTTCTGAAATAGAATTAGTAATAACCAACCAACTAAAAAATGTCCTGGACCAGAAACATTCACAGTGGAATTCTATCTGACATACAAAGAAGAACTGATGCCAATCCTATTGAAATTATTCCAAAAAAGTTGAGGAGCACGGGCTCCTCCCTAACTCATTCTATGAAGCCAGCATCACCTTGATACCAAAATTTGACATAGACACAACAAAAAAACAAAACTTCAGGCCAATATCCCTGATAAACATAGATGCAAAAATCCTCAACAGTATATTAGGAAACTGAACCCAGCAACACATCAGCAAGTTAATACTAGTGTGATATATTATCACAATTAAGCAGGCTTTATTCTTGGGATTCAAGGCTTGTTCAACATACAAAAAAACAATAAATCCAATCAACTTCATAAACAGAATCAAAAGCAAAAACCATATAATCATCTAATATATGCAGAATAGTCTTTCAATAAAACCCAACATCCCTTTATAATAAAAACGCTCTGCAGACTAGGCATTGAAGGAGCCTACCTTAAAATAGTGAGAGTCAACTATGACAAATTCACAACCAACATCATACCAAATGGGCAAAAGCTTAACCCATTCCCCTAGAGAACTGGAAAAAGACAAAGATGCCCACTCCCACCACTTCTATTCAAGGTAGTATTGGAAGTCCCAGCCAGAGCAGTCAGGCAAGACAAAGAAATAAAAGGCATCTAAATAGAAAAAGAAGTCAAACTATTTCTTTCTGCAGATGATATAACTCTATACCTAGAAAATCGTAAATACTATGCCAAAAGGCTCCTAGAACTGATAAATTATTTTAGTAAAGTTTTAAGATACAAAATTAATGTACAAAAATCATTAGCATTTCTACACATACCAACAACATCCAGGCTGAAAGTGAAATCAAGAACATAATTCAACTCAAAATAGCCACAAAGAAAATTAAATATCTAGGAATACAGCTAACCAAGGAGGTCAAAAATCTCTGCAAGGAGAGCCATAAAACACTGCTGAAAGAAACTAGAGATGACACAAATAAATGGAAAAACATTCCACGCTCATGGATTGGAAGAATCATTGTTGTTAAAATGGGAGCACTGCCCAAAGTAATTTACAGATTCAATGCTATTCCTATCAAACCACCAATGGCATTTATCACAGAATTAGAAAAAAATTATTCCCAATTTCATCTGGAACCAAAAAAGCCTGAATAGCCAAAACAATCTAAGCAAAAACAACAAAAAAAAGGCAGAGGCCTCACACTATCCCACTTCAAACTACACTATAAAGCCACAGTAATCAAAACATCTTGGTACTGATACAAAAACAAACACAGAGCAATGGAACAGAATTAAAAACTCAGAAATAGAGTTGTACAACTGCAACCATCTGCAACAAGGCTGACAAAAGCAATTGGGAAAATGACACTCTATTCAGTAAATAGTGCTGGGACAACTGGCTAGCCATACACAGAAGACTGAAACTAGACGCCTACTTTCACCTATTCTGAATGGATTAACTGAAATTAACTGAAAATGGATCAAAGACTTGAATATAAAATCTCAAACTCGTGGAGCCAAGATGGCCGAATAGGAACAGCTCCAGTTTACAGCTCCCAGCCTGAGCGATGCAGAAGATGGGTGATTTCTGCATTTCAATCTGAGGTACCGGGTTCATCTCACTAGAGAGTGCCAGACAGTTGGGTGCAGCACAGTGGGTACAGTGCACCATGCGCAAGCCAAAGCAGGGCAAGGCATTGCCTCACTCGGGAAGCACAAGGGGTCAGGGAGTTCCCTTTCCTAGTCAAAGAAAGGGGTGACAGACGGCACCTGGAAAATCAGATCACTCCCACCCTAATACTGTGCTTTTCCAAGGGGCTTAAATAACGGCACACCAGGAGATTACATCCTGCACCTGGCTCGGAGGGTCCTACACCCACGGAGTCTCACTGATTGCTAGCACAGCAGTCTGAGATCAAACTGCAAGGCGGCAGCGAGGCTGGGAGACAGGTGCCTGCCACTGCCCAGGCTTGCTTAGGTAAACAAAGCAGCTGGGAAGCTCCAACTGGGTGGAGCCCACCACAGCTCATGGAGGCTTGCCTGCCTCTGTAGGCTCCACCTCTGGGGGCAGGGCACAGACAAACAAACAGACAGCAGTAACCTCTGCAGACTTAAATGTCCCTGTCTGACAGCTTTGAAGAGACTAGTGGTTCTCCCAGCATGCAGCTGGAGATCTGAGAATGGACAGACTGCCTCCTCAAGTGGGTCCCTGACCTCCAAGCAGCCTAACTGGGAGGCACCCCCAAGTAGGGGCAGACTGACACCTCACACGGCCGGGTACTCCTCTGAGACAAAACTTCCAGAGGAACCATCAGGCAGCAGCATTTGCGATTCACCAAGATCCGCTGTTCTACAGCCACCGCTGCTGATACCCAGGCAAACAGGGTCTGGAGTGGACCTCCAGCAAACTCCAACAGACCCACAGTGGAGGGTCCTGTCTGTTAGAAGGAAAACTAACAAATAGAAAGGACATCCACACCAAAAACCCTTCTGTACGTCACCATCATCAAAGACCAAAAGTAGATAAAACCACACAGATGGGGAAAAAACAGAGCAGAAAAACTGGAAACTCTAAAAGGCAGAGTGCCTCTCCTCCTCCAAAGGAATGCAGCTCCTCACCAGCAATGGAACAAAGCTGGATGGAAAATGACTTTGACGAGCTGAGAGAAGAAGGCTTCAGACAATCAAACTACTCCAAGCTACAGGAGGAAATTCAAACCAATGGCAAAGAAGTTAAAAACTTTGAAAAAAAATTGGACAAATGGATAACTAGAATAACCAACGCAGAGAAGTCCTTAAAGGAGCTGATGGAGCTGAAAACCAAGGCTCGAGAACTATGTGAAGAATGCAGAAGACTCAGGAGCCGATGCGATCAACTGGAAGAAAGTGTATCAGTGATGGAAGATCAAATGAATGAAATGAAGCAAGAAGGGAAGTTTAGAGAAAAAAGAATAAGAAGAAACAAACAAAGCCTCCAAGAAATATGGGACTATGTGAAGAGACCAAATCTACATCTGATTGGTGTATCTGAAAATGACGGAGAGAATGGAACCAAGTTGGAAAACACTCTGCAGGATATTATCCAGGAGAAATTCCCCAATCTAGCAAGGCAGGCCAACATTCAGATTCAGGAAATACAGAGAATGCCACAAAGATACTCCTCAAGAAGAGCAACTCCAAGACACATAATTGTCAGATACACCAAAGTTCAAATGAAGGAAAAAATGTTAAGGGCAACCAGAGAGAAAGGTCGGGTTACCCACAAAGAGAAGCCCATCAGACTAACAGCGGATCTCTCGGCAGAAACTCTACAAGCCAGAAGAGAGAGGGGGCCAATACTCAACATTCTTAAAGAAAAGAGTTTTCAACCCAGAATTTCATATCCAGCCAAACTAACCTTCATAAGTGAAGGAGAAATAAAATACTTTACAGACAAGCAAAGGCTGACAGATTTTGTCACCACCAGGCCTGGCCTAAAAGAGCTCCTGAAGGAAGCACAAAACATGGAGAGGAATAACCGGTACCAGCCACTGCAAAAACATGCCAAAATGTAAAGACCATCAAGGCTAGGAAGAAACTCCATCAACTAACAAGCAAAATAACCAGATAACATCATAATGACAGGACCAAATACACACATAACCATATTAACCTTAAATGTAAATGGGCTAAATGCTCCAATTAAAAGACACAGACTGGCAAATTGGATAAAGAGTCAAGACCCATCAGTGTGCTGTATTCGGGAAAGCCATCTCACGTGCAGAGACACACATAGACTCAAAATAAGGGGATGGAGGAAGATCTACCCAGCAAATGGAAAACAAAAAAAGGGCAGGGATTGCAATCTTAGTCTCTGATAAAACAGACTTTAAACCAACAAAGATCAAAAGAGACAAAGAAGGTCATTATGTAATGGTAAAGGGATCAATTAAACAAAAAGAGCTAACTATCCTAAATATATATGCACCCAATACAGGAGCACCCAGATTCATAAAGCAAGTCCTGAGTGACCTACGAACAGACTTAGACTCCCACACAATAATAATGGGAGACATTAACACCCCACTGTCAATATTGGACAGATCAATGATACCCAGGAATTGAACTCAGCTCTGCACCACACAGACCTCATAGACATCTACAGAACTCTCCACCCCAAATCAACAGAATATACATTTTTTTCAGCACCACACCATAGCTATTCCAAAATTGACCACATACTTTGAAGTAAAGCTCTCCTCAGCAAATGTAAAAGAATAGAAATTATAACAAACTGTCTCTCAGACCACAGTGCAATCAAACTAGAACTCAGGATTAAGAACCTCACTCAAAACCGCTCAACTACATGGAAACAGAACCACCTGCTGCTGAATGACTACTGGGTACATAATGAAATGAAGGCAGAAATAAAAATGTTCTTTGAAACCAACGAGAACAAAGACACAACATACCAGAATCTCTGGGACACATTCAAAGCAGTGTGTAGAGGGAAATTTATAGCACTAAATGCCCAAAAGAGAAAGCAGAAAAGATCCAAAAGTGACACCCTAACATCACAATTAAAAGAACTAGAGAAGCAAGAGGAAACACATTCAAAAGCTAGCAGAAGGCAAGAAATAACTAAAATCAGAGCAGAACTGAAGGAAATACAGATACAAAAAACCCTTCAAAAAATTAATGAATCCAGGAGCTGGTTTTTTGAAAGGATCAACAAAATTGATAGACTGCTACCAAGATTAATAAAGAAGAAACGAGAGAAGAATCAAATAGATGCAATAAAAAATGATAAAGGGGATATCACCACTGATCCCACAGAAATACAAACTACCATCAGAGAATACTACAAACACCTCTACACAAATAAACTAGAAAATCTAGAAGAAATGGATAAATTCGTCGACTCATCCACCCTCCCAAGACTAAACCAGGAAGAAGTTGAATCTCTGAAAAGACCAATAACAGGCTCTGAAATTGTGGAAATAATCAATGGCTTACCAACCAAAAAGAGTCCAGGACCAGATGGATTCACAGCCGAAATCGACCAGAGGTACTAGGAGGAATTGATACCATTCCTTCTGAAACTATTTCAATCAATAGAAAAAGAGGGAATCCTCCCTAACTCATTTTATGAGGCCAGCATCATCCTGATACCAAAGCCAGGCAGAGACACAACCAAAAAGGAGAATTTTAGAACAATATCCTTGATGAACATTGATGCAAAAATTCTCAATAAAATACTGGCAAACCGAATCCAGCAGCATATCAAAAAGCTTATCCACTATGATCAAGAGGGCTTCATCCCTGGGATGCAAGGCTGGCTCAACATATGCAAATCCATATATGTAATCCAGCATATAAACAGAATCAAAGACAAAAACCACATGATTATCTCAATAGATGCAGAAAAGGACTTTGACAAAATTCAACAACCCTTCATGCTAAAAACTCCCAATAAATTAGGTATTGATGGGACGTATCTCAAAATAATAAGAGCTATCTATGACAAACCCACAGCCAATATCATCCTGAATGGGCAAAAACTGGAAGCATTCCCTTTGAAAACTGGCACAAGACAGGGATGCCCTCTCTCAACACTCTTATTCAACATAGTGTAGGAAGTTCTGGCCAGGGCAATCAGGCAGGAGAAGGAAATAAAGAGTATTCAATTAGGAAAAGATGAAGTCAAATTGTCCCTGTTTGCAGATGACATGATTGTATATCTAGAAATCCCCATCATCTCAGCCCAAAATCTCCTTAAGCTGAGAGGCAACTTCAGCAAAGTCTCAGGATACAAAATCAATGTATAAAAATCACAAGCATTCTTATACACCAATAACAGACGAACAGAGAGCCAAATCATCAGTGAATTCCCATTCACAATTGCTTCAAAGAGAATAAAATACCTAGGAATCCAACTCACAAAGGATGTGAAGGACCTCTTCAAGGAGAACTACAAACCACTGCTCAATGAAATAAAAGAGGATACAAAGAAATGGAAGAACATTCCATGCTCATGGGTAGGAAGAATCAATATCATGAAAATGGCCATACTGCCCAAGGTAATTTATAGATTCAATGCCATCCCCATCAAGCTACCAATGACTTTCTTCACAGAACTGGAAAAAACTACTTTAAAGTTCATATGGAACCAAAAAAGAGCCCACATTGCCAAGTCAATCCTAAGCCAAAAGAACAAAGCCAGAGGCATCACACTACCTGACTTCAAACTATACTACACTACAGTAACCAAAACAGCATGGTACTGGTACCAAAACACAGATATAGATCAATGGAACAGAACAGAGCCCTCAGAAATAATGCCACATATCTACAACCATCTGATCTTTGACAAACCTGACAAAAACAAGCAATGGGGAAAGGATTCCCTATTTCATAAATGGTGCTGGGAAAACTGGCTAGCCATATGTAGAAAGCTGAAACTGGATCCCTTCCTTACACCTTATACAAAAATTAATTCAAGATGGATTAAAGACTTAAATGTTAGACCTAAAACCATAAAAACCCTAAAAGAAAACCTAGGCAATAACATTCAGGACATAGGCATGGGCAAGGACTTCATGTCTAAAACACCAAAAGCAATGGCAACAAAAGCCAAAATTGACAAATGGGATCTAATTAAACTAAAGAGCTTCTACACAGCAAAAGAAACTACCATCAGAGTGAATAGGCAACCTACAAAATGGGAGAAAATTTTCGCAACCTACTCATCTGACAAAGGGCTAATATCCAGAATCTGCAATGAACTCAAACAAATTTACAAGAAAAAAACAAACGACCTCATCAAAAAGTGGGTGAAGGATATGAACAGACACTTCTCAGAAGAAGACATTTATGCAGCCAAAAAACACATGAAAAAATGCTCATCATCACTGGCCATCAGAGAAATGCAAATCAAAACCACAATGAGATACCATCTCACACCAGTTAGAATGGTGATCATTAAAAAGTTAGGAAACAACAGGTGCTAGAGAGGTTGTGGAGAAATAGGAACAATTTTACACTGTTGGTGGGACTGTAAACTAGTTCAACCATTGTGGAAGTCAGCGTGGTGATTCCTTGGGGATCTAGAACTAGAAATACCATTTGACCCAGCCATCCCATTACTGGGTATATACCCAAACGATTATAAATCATGCTGCTATAAAGACACATGCACACGTATGTTTATTGCAGCACTATTTACAATAGCAAAGACTTGGAACCAACCCAAATGTCCAACAATGATAGACTGGATTAAGAAAATGTAGCATATATATACCATGGAATACTATGCAGCCATAAAAAATGAAGAGTTCATGTCCTTTGTAGGGACATGGATGAAACTGGAAACCATCATTCTCAGCAAACTATCGCAAGGACAAAAAACCAAATACCACATGTTCTCACTCATAGTTGGGAATTGAACAATGAGTACACATGGACACAGGAAGGGGAATATCACACTCTGGGGACTGTTGTGGGGTGGGGGGAGGGGGGAAGGATAGCCTTAGGAGATATACCTAATGCTAAATGATGAGTTAATGGGTGCAGCACACCAACATGGCACATGTATACATATGTAACAAACCTGCACATTGTGCACATGTACCCTAAAACCTAAAGTATAATAATAATAATTTTAAAAAAAACTCAAACTCCTGGAAGACAACCTAGGTAATACTCTTCTCAGCATCAGCCATGGTAAAAAAAATTTTGGCTAAGTCCGTAAAAGCAATCACAACAAAAACAAAAATAAACAAGTGAGACCTAATTAAACTAAAGAGCTTCTGTGCAGTAAAAGAAACTCAACATAGGAAAAGACAACTTATAGAATGGGAGAAGATATTCACAAACTATGCATCCAACAAAGGCCTAGTATATATAATCTATAGGGAACTTAAATAAACAAGCAAAATACAAATAGCACCATTAAAAAATGGGCAAAGGACATGAACAGACACTTGTCAAAGGAAAACACACAAGCAGCCAACAAACATGAAAAAGTCCTCAGCATCACTAATCATCAGAGTAATGTAAATCAAAACCACAATGAGATATCATCTCATACTAGTCACAGTGGCTACTATTAAAATCAATGACTAACAGATGCTTGTGAGGCTGCAGAGAAAACAGAATGTTTATATATTGTTTATGGGAATGTAAATTACTATAGTCTCTGTGGAAAGCAGTGTGGAGATTTCTCAAAGAACTTCAAACAGAGTTACCATTTCACCCAGCAACCCCATTACTGGGTATATACCCATAGGAAAACAAGTTATTCTACTAAGAAGACACATGCACTCCCATGTTGATTGCTGTGCTATTTCCAATGGCAGAGACATGGAATCAACCCAAGTGCCCATCAATGGTGTATCGGATAAAGAAAATGCAGTATATATACATCATGAAATGCTATGTAGCCATAAATATAATAAAATCATGTCCTTTGCAGCAACATGAATGGAGCTGGAGGCCATAATCCTGTGAATTAACACAGGAATAAAAAAACCAAATACCATATATTCTCACTTAAAAGTGGGTGCTAAACATTGAATACACATGGATATAAATATGGGAATAGACATTGCAGACTACTGGGGGTGGGGGGTTGAAAAAAGCTACCTATTGGGCACTATGCTCACTACCTGGGTGATGGGGTCCATACTCCCAACCTCAACATCACCCAATATTCCCATGTAACACCCCTGCACATATACCTCCTGTATCTAAAATAAACGTTGAAATCTAAAGAAGAAAATAAAAGAATCCCGCCCCCAGTAAGCAGTCACTTCCTATTTTCCCTCAAACCCCATATCCCTCAGCAATCACTAATCTGCATTCTATCTTTGTAGATTTTCATTGTGATCATAGCTTAAAAATGGAATCTCAAATATGTAGGGTTCTTTGACTTAGCATAATGATCTTAAGGTTCATCCATGTTGTAGCATGTATCGAGAGTTCATTCCTATTTATGTCCTAATATTATGTCATTGTATGTACATACTACGTTTTGCTTACCCATCCATCAGTTGATGGACATTTGAGTTGTTTCTACTTTAAGGCTTTTATGAATAATACTTCTATAAACATTTATGCACAAGTTTTTGTAGGGACATTTGGTTTGATTTCTCTTGGGTTATATACCTAGGAGTGGAATTGTTTGGCCATATAAAACTGAAAAACTTTTCCAAAGCAATACATCATTCTATATTCCAAGCAGCAATGTAACAGGGTCTCAATATATCAAATCCTCTCCACCACTTACTATCTCTTTCATCATAGCCATCTTAGAGAGTGTGAAGTGATATCTCATTGAGGTTTTAATTTGCATTTCCCTGATGGCTATTGACATTGAACATCTTTTCATGTTTATTGGCTATTAGTCTCTCTTCTGGGGAGAAATGTCTATTCAGATCCTTTCTTCATTTTTAAGTTGGGCTTTTTGTCTTTTCATTATTGAGTTATAAGGTGATCTGTTTTTACCTTTGTTGTTTTCTTTCTAAAAACTTTAGCATCTTCTCTTTATCATTTATATTCTGAATTTTCATAACATGTCTCAGAAAATGCATTTTCTTCACTTTGCTGAGTACACAGTGGGCCTTTTCAACATAAACACTCATACTTCAGCTCAAGGTTACCTCTTTCTTTATTTATTTGATAATTGCTTGCTCTGTTTTCTCTGTTTTCTCTTTCAAGAACTTCCATTATTTATGTGGCAAACTTTGAATTAATCCTTGTCTTTATTCTCATTTTCCTTTTCTTGCTTTTTTTTTCTCCTTTTATTCTAAGAGATTGTTTACTTTTTTCACATTGGTTACATTTTTATGTGTTTTTTTAGAGCATACTTTTATGATTTAATAAATGAAATATCTCTCTAACATCCCTCTAATGATACTAATTAGAGAAAATTTTAAAGTACTTTTCTGCTTACTAGATTAACTATTTCCTATCAGACTATTATTGTTAATTATTAATCTTGCCCTTTCTCTTAAACATTCCTCATTTGTCTGGCCATCCTTGATTCCTGGTTTGTATTTAGGGTTGAGACAGCAGAAAATCTAGCTGAAGTCTTCATATTCATGGGCAAGAGTTTATCAACTGGAAGCCTTAACCTTATGTTGAGACTGTAGTAGCAAGTCAACCACTATGACTGGCTGAAATGCTAAAGCCTTCCCACTAGGATAGCAATTCCCACATTAACTGTCCTTGTTTTACCATATCATCATTTTAATTAGTATACTTAAGAAGTCTCCTTACTTTTTTTATTGTAGTAAGATACCAATAACATAAAATTTACCATTTAAAACATTTCTAATTTCAGTGGTCTTAAGTACATTCACATTGTTATGCAACCATCACCATTATCTATCTCCAGATTTTTTCATCATCCCATACTGAAACCCCGTACCTATTAAATAGTAACTTCCCATTCCTCCTCTCAGCCTCTGGTAACCACTGTTCTACTTTCTGTGCCCATTTTTAGTTAATTTACATATATATATATATATACATATATATATACATATATGTATATATATATAGTTTGTTTGTTTGGAGGCATTCTTTGGCTTCAGGTTGTGTTCAAATGAGAGGAAGATGTGGGAGAAGTGAACATTATGCAGCTACAGGCTTTCCATTATCCTCCACTCCCTTGTTTTCAAAAAGTTACACACACCTGTGTCTATTCTAACCTGGAATTTCCAAGTCCCATATGACCTCTTGGTATTTGAAACGCAAGGTAAGGCTCTTCTGATATGTGCTCCTCTTTGGACATTTTCTAAGATGTGGTTTCCTGTATTTCTATTCCTTCATCCACTAATTACTTCCCATAAGATTTTACAAATGCTTTCATACCCCATTGACACTCTTCCTCCATTTCTTATTTCTATACTTGTATTCCTATTAAAATGAGTTTTGGAACAAAGCAGTAGACATCAGCATATGCTCAATCTACTACATTGAACCATAAGCCCGTGTTAAATTTTTAACCGCTAACAAATGTTACCAGTGTATTTAACCAGAGTTCTAACAATGTTATATCTGAAATCAGTATCACAATTCAATGAAATATCTTAAGAATAAGAAAAAGTTCAGAGAGGTATTGAGAATATATGAAACATATTTTAATGTAACTTTTCATAAATAAATTTAAATCTCAAACTGCTACACATAGTTCTAAATTAATTATTTTTGTAACTAGAATATTTAAATTCTTCATTAATTCTTTACTATTAAAATCTCAGTATAGTAGTATCTTGTAATTAAATGGGCATTTTCTGTGAATTTACCAAAGATAATGAAAGTCTAGATTACCCCTTGTTTATGATTATCATTGTATCTAGCATAGGAAAGAGATCATATAGAGTAGTGATTCAAGTACAGTCTGTGAAGTCCAGAAGATCTATTTTTAGTCAAGATTTTTACATTTATTAATTCTACTTGGACAATTTTCTCAGCTTCTCAGTCATTCTTCATCTGTAAAATGGGGTATAAAATAATATCTATTCATCAAGCATCTGTGAAGAACAGAAGATGCAAATATAAGTCTGGACTCACAGTAGATGTTTAATAAATACTAACAAATATTATCCAAAGTTGGACTCCAGTGTCACTGCATATGTCATGATCTCAGCTCTAATACCAGATCCCTGACTTTGGCTATGTTACTCAGTTTACCTTTGTCTTGTTATTTCATGGTTAAAATACTGCAGCCGACATAAAGGGTCATTCTGAAGATTAAATACAACAATATAGGAACAGAGTTTAAAACAGTGTTCTTAATATCATCACCTGCATTATCATTCTAGGATTGCTTGGTCTCTCTGAAGCTAATTATATCCAAATATAGTTTTGCAATTGTGCCACCTTATTACACTGTCTCTTTCCTGGCTCCACTTTACTCCATTCCACTCCAAAATAATTACGACTATTTTTGTTTTTATATTTTGAATCAATACTGTATTCAGAGTATTCCATATTTAAATCATCACCAGTGACACATTCATGGAATACTTGTCCTTATCTTTAAAAGCAAACAAAATCTACAGAGAATTGTTTCACTTTTAACTTCCAGTGTTTTTCTGCATTTCACTGAATTTTAAGCATGCCCTTCCTGAATTGCTGCCACATTTTTTCCTTCAGTATGAAGGAAAAGTGTTAAACATCACTGAAATTGCTTTTAAGAGCTTTCTATCATTTTATCTTAACAACATGATCTGGAAAAAAATCTTTATTCCCAATATAGGACTTTCCTTACAAGTAGAATCACAGTTCGCTTTAGTAGAAATTATCTAGGTTAGATTACACTGGCTCCCAGCCAAAATGGACAAACAACTCAAATTTTACCCTGACTGAGGACTTTTCCTCAAACTGCTTGCTTAAATGTCTACTTTGACTATAATATAAATACCAGCTATCATACAAGAAGATGATATTCTCACTTACTTTCCTTTTTAAATTATGATCCTCTTCCAGGGTTCTCCCTCCCACTGTATCTCCAGATCCAGCTCACCTGTCACCTCTGGTGTTTTCTCTTCAAATTACTGAGTCCCACTTAGCTAAAGTCCTCTTGGCTCCCTCAGAACTTCTATTTCCACCATAGCCTTTACCACTTTACAAAGCAATTGTCAAAGACTAATCCCATCCACTGGGTTGAGCATAATGAAAGGAGATCAGTGTGGGATTTCCCTCTATAGCTCCAATATTTTGTAATCAATGAATATATATTGAAAGGACTTTTAAGTAGTTCCACTGGGGGACATCATCT
Source organism: Homo sapiens (assembly GCF_000001405.40). NCBI lineage: Eukaryota > Metazoa > Chordata > Mammalia > Primates > Hominidae > Homo > Homo sapiens. The sequence continues at coordinate 60,975,821 of NC_000006.12, read as the reverse complement.
ACTTTCTTCTGCTCAACATCTCCTTCTTTGGGAGAACCAAGCCCCTGCTCACACATACTCTTAGATTCCCATTAGGTGACACAAACCTTGGCTTCAAAGTTGGATGTGTGACACAGGAATGAAAAAATTAGAGAACTCCAAGTACTTCATTTTATTGGCCACTGCGAGTAAGTCGGGAATAGGTGTACAACTCAGGCTGGGCCAAGGAGGCCATCCTGGGAGTTTTTCTTTTTCTCTTTGACCGTTAGGTATAAGAACAATACGAACCTAATGCTGATGATGTTACAAAAATGCCAGGGGTTTGGTCTAGGTCCTGTTGCTCCCCATACAGAAAGCCAGTCATTGAGCCAATAAGTATTGCCAGGGAAGAAGACTTTTTATTTCAGTGATGTCAACTCAGATAAATCTAGAGGTTTATATAGCAGGGAAGAAATTTAACTACATGATGGAAAACAGAAATTAGGAAGGGTTAAGGAAGAGGAGTTGGTAAAGAGAAATTAGGGAGGGACCTGGCTGGATGCGGTGATCTAGTGACTCAGTCCCTTTTCTGAGGAAGATCTCAGGCAAGACAAATTTAAGTTTCAAGTTTTAAGACCGGAAGGGTCAATTTCTTTGTTTATTCAAAAAACCTGTAAATATCAGTTCTATGGAGAAATTGGGCTGGTTTCAGTGACAGGCATCTTTGTGACCACATAGGGAGCACTTAAAGAACGAAGTTAATCCAGAAAAATCTCAGAGTTAAGTGATGGCGCAAGGCAAACTTCTGATGACATTATTTGAGCCCCAGCTCTAGACATACCTGAAGTTTAATCCTATCCTTTCCAGTTATGAGTTTATTTCATTTTCTTTAGATGGGTTGAGTATCATTTCTGTAACTGGCAATTTTAAAAAAGTCTTGGTAAACACAGTTACCCCTTCAAATAAGAACATGAATTTTTAAGACCATGGAATGAAATATTATTACTGACCACATAGAATACAGGCATATCTTTGAATTCAGTAGCATGCTGTTGTAAATAATAAGCTAACCCACTACCAACTATTTTTACATGAATAAACAAAACATAAATTTTTTTCCTTCTTTTGAAAATTATCTGATGTGATTCCCCTATTAGAAGTACATGCTCATATGTAAAAATAAATATATTATGATTTTCTCTTTTTCTAAAGTTGATGAATGAAAGCAAGAAAAAAATCTACATCAAGAAAAATATTTTTAGAGAGTAATTATTGATTTTTGTCAAGAGTTTTATCCCCTGAAATTAAGAAGAAGTGGGTTTTTGGATATTTGATATCATGAAAATAAAACATGTTTATATACTGAAACCTCAAATCTTGAAGACCTACAGAAAATATTCTTGAACTTTAATATGCATAAGAATCACAATGGTATTTGTTAAATATTAAGATTCAAAAAGTACTATCAAAAAGATTCTAATTCATTATGCCTGAGTAGGGCCAAAAATCTAAATTTTAAAGCAGCACCCCAGGATAGTCTAATTAAATGGTGCTCTGATTGCACATGAGAAACTGCTCTCTGAGGTGAATGGGATCATAAAAAGTGATAAATCTTAGAGATGACACCTCCTCACAAGATGAGAAATGAAAGTAGCTTTCACACACACACACACATACATATAGTGTGTGTGTATGTGTGTGTGTGTGTGTATATATATATGTATATATGAGAAAGTTGTTAGAATTTAGTGCATTATTTTCTTAGATTCCATAGGACAAAAGATTTTGAAGGCCTCTTTTGATCAGAAAATTTTACAAAGCTCCAAGTCTATTCCTTTCTCATTCAGGAACTAGTTCATTTCTTTATTTTTTACTAAATGGGACATGAGAAATTGCTTAGAAATATTATGGCTTCCTGAATCTTATATCTAAAGGCATTAAATTTGGTACATTCTAAGAAACATAAAATGTTAGATTTCAGAGAAATATTACAGGTCATTTAACCCAACCATTATCAGATGTTAGACTCTTTTCTGCACTGTTCCCTAAATGTGGTCATTCAGTTTCTACTTGAACACTTTTAATGACCCAGAACTCATTAATTCATAAGAAAGCATTTTTCTCTTGTAGTAAAAGTTTATGTTTGTTTGTTGGTTAGTTGGTGATTGACTGATTTTTTTTCCACTATCCTAAAATCTACTTCTTAATATAGGATATTCATTAGTCTTAGGACTGCTTCTTTAGTTGAAACAAAAAAGCATAGTTTCCCATATAAAGGGTCTGTAATTATTTGAAAAGTTATCATGATACCTGTTAAGTCCTCTTTTCTAGATTAAACAACCAGTTTATTCAGCTATTTCTTTTCTGACCCAGTTTCTAGAGACTTTCCCTACCTGGTAACTGTCTGTCCCTTCTTCTCCTTGTTTAAGCTATCCCATAATTGAAAGACTTTAAAGAAAGGGGTAAATAGCTTATTCTGTTTCTCCATAACTAATCCACATAGATTTAAGCTACTCTTAACCTCTTAACAAGGCCTTATAGCACATCATGCTCCCAGCATAGAATAAACTCCATTTAACTAAGAACAATAAACAAGGGAAGGTAGTAATCCTAGTTGTTCTTCCTCTAATCTTCAGGCTTAGGCGTGAGTGGGACCACAGGATTGGCTATACACTCATTTCAGGTGATGATGTGTGTGCTCTTGGTGACTCCCCTCCACCCAGAATTTGACTCCTCTTGGGCTCCAGTTTCTAGGTCTTTGTTTAAGAGCAGAAGCAAAGGTGTCAAGTTGGGGGTTGACACTTTTATCACCCCATAGTTCAGGGCCATTCCTCTGGCTCTTCCCTGCCACTGCTGCCTCAGGTCCATTTTGCCTATTCCTTCTTGCTAAAGGCTCACCAAAATGATAGTGGCAGAAGTGGGGGCCTACTTTCCACCAGCTTATTTATTCTTAAGACTTTCTCATTGGAAATGGATCACTAAGTTTTATTAGATCAATTTGTATTTTGCCCAGCAAGATTTTCTTTAATACTAGCAAGAGAGCATATGATTCATAGTAACTACCTGAAACCAGGTAATTATTTTTGTTTTCTTATCTCAGCACTTGTCATGTAAAAACAAATTTGACATTTTCTTGCCCTTTACTAACCCCCTCAAAGGCACAAGAGTCATAGAGAAGCCCCTGACTCATTTTTAATAATAATTTATGCATTAGATTTGCTTTATAGGGTGCAAAGAACTTCCAAGAGCCTCAGAGTTGAGTCAATAAGTCAAAGTTGATGTCATATAATATGTTATAAGTATGGAGTTTGGCCTTTGCCCCTTTCCCAAATATTTATACGATATAAAGTGATAAGTGCTAAAAGACAAATGCAGACAGAAATGCTAATATTGGGAATATAGAAAAATAAAAAATTGTTTTAAGATAAAGTAATTAAGTAAATGTTTGCAGTTACAGAGATGGAAAGGCAAGGCACTCAAGAAAAAGGGGACCCTATGAGAGGAAAATGGTTGGGGGGGATCAGTGTGGAAGCTTTATTAATAATAAAGAATAGGAAGTATTAGAGCTAAAATAGTCAAAAAATGGTCCACAGACACTGATTTTTTTCAAATAACTCACTGGCAATGCAGTTAAAAGTATAATCAATTATCTCTATTTTTGTGATAAAATTAATGAAACACATTCATAACAAATTAATTCTTCAGTGGAAGGGGCATAAAAAGGAAAACTACTGCACTATTTTTAGGAACTGTATAACACTACCATTAATTTACTCTTACTGAAATAGTCTGATTTTGACTAGACAGATAAGATAAAGTATAATGCAGGAGAAATGAAAATTACCAAGTACATATTATACAACTCTAATAAAGTTTACAAACACAGGTTTATGGCTTAATTAGTAATATTTCTCTAATCTTATGTAGAAAACTCTAGAGAATACTGCATGAATAATCATTATCACCACTTACTACACTGCTGAGTTAGCATCCAAAATATATCTGCCCTTATATGTATATGTGTACCTCAGCACATAAAATATATATGGATAGTACTATTTGACTAACTGGTAAAGCATGCTAACGCCTAGTGGAATAATTACTAACAAACTAGATTCTGGTTGTTTATGATTTACTGGTCTGAAAATAACATAATTTATTTTTTTCCTTACCACAAGCTCCACTGATAATTTATTACATTATAATGAATAAAAATCACAAACCTATTTTATCCTGATGCATTTTCATCTACTCTTTATATTGGCCATAAAATTTACCAGCTTGAAATCTAGGACTCGTCTAAAATAAGCATGGGCCAATGTCATATAAAGAGTTAACATTTATTGAGTGTTGACTATGTGCTAGATAGTGTTTGACATGGTTTGGATCTGTGTCCCCACCCAAGTCTCATGACGAATTGTAATAACCAATGTTAGAGGTGGGCCTGGTAGGAGGAGACTGGATCATGGGGGTGGATTTCCCCCTTGGTATTCTAGTGATAGTGAGTAAGTTCTCATGATACCTGGTCATTTAAAAGTGACCTCCCCTCTCTCAATCCTGCTCCTGCCATATAAGACTCCTGCTGGGACTCTGCCTTCCACCTTGAGTAAAAGCTCCCTGAGGCCTCCCCAGAAGCAGATGCCACCATCTGCTTTCTGTATAGCCTGCAGAACCATGAGCGAATTAAACCTATTTTCCCTACAAATTTCCCAATCTCAGGTATTTCTTTATAGCAATGTAAGAACCGATTAATACACTGTTAAAGGTAGTTAATGTTTTTACTCACTAGCCTCTTTACAGTACTTCAAGGTAGGCACCCTGACTGTATTAGTCAGAGTTCTCCAGAGAAACAGAACAAATGGTAAAAGAATGTATAGATAGATGAGAGGGGATTTATTAAGATAATTTGCTCATGTGATTATGGAGGCTGAGAAGTCCCACAACTGGCTGTCTATAAGCTGGAGACTCTGGAATGTGAGTAGCATGGCTCAGTCCAAGTCCGAAAGCCTGAGAACCAGAGGAGCCAATGGTGTAACTCTTGGGACTGGGCTGAAGCCCTGAAAGCCCAGGGAACTGCTGGTGTAAATCCTGGAATCTAAAGGCGGGAGAGCCTGGAGTTCTGATGTCCAAAGGTAGGAGATGAAGAGTGTTCCAGATCCAGGAGAGAGAGGGGAAAAAAAAGAAAAAGGAAAGAAAGAAAGAAAACACCAGTTTTCCCCCTGCTGTTTTTGTTCTGTCTGGGCCCTCAGTCGATTTGATGGTTACCACTCACATTGAGGGTAGATCTTCCACCACTCAGTCCACAGATTCACTGGAACATTCTCCTCTGGAAATACTTTCAGGGACACACCCAGAAATAACACTTTGCCTGTTCTCTAGATATTCCTTAATCCAGTCAAACTGACACCTAAAATTAACCATCACACTTACTATCCCCATTTTTTTTTGAGGAAATGGAGATGTGGAGAGGTTAGGCAATTTGCCCAAGGTCAGGTAGCTAGTAAGTGACAGAGAATTTGGCTCCATAATTGAAGCAACTACGCTATGATGCCACATATGTGTATATACGTACACATACACAAATATATACATATACATAATACATACTATATATGTAGTATAAAATAATAAAATATGTTAGGATTGGCAAACACTCTAATCACCGGTATAAAACTGTCAGCAGTACAGTCCAGAAGTAAAATCATAATAACGAGGAAGTATTAAAATAAATTATATTTTTGAGAGGCATCACCATTGTATTCTTCATCACATAGGAGTTGCTAAAATAAATTCTTTTATCTTTTTATCACCATTACCAAGCACCGAACCTAGGCATATAGGTGGCACTAGGCAAGGATATATTGCATAAATGAGTGATAAAGAAATCAGATCCAGAGAATACCCACCTATACTTCAAACAAGGAATACCACTAATTTGCCTTTTTGGTGAAAAGAGGAAATGTAATACAGTGTAAAGAGCACAGGCTTTTAGAAGCAGACTTACAGATGAAATCCTTATAGCAACACCATCTGTTAAATTTATGACCTTAGACAACCATCTTGTATTCTTTAAACCACGGTTTCTTTATCTTTAAAATTACAATAATTATAATTGACACAAATATGTTGTTTTGAGAATAAAATGTTCATAAAGTACCAAAGAGATTATTGGATTGAAAAGACTTTCAATCTACCCTCAGAAAGTTCAATAACTGAGTCTATGAAATAAACTGAAAACAGGCAGATTAATCGGAGAAAGTGTATAGAAATTTATTATGTGCATGGAGGTCATCACAGAAAAGTAAATACCCAAAAACTCAGTGATACTTAGGAGCTTATATGCCCTTTTCATAGTGGGGGAAGAAGAGGAGGGATTTAGGTACCTTAAATGCCAGTAAATGGTTTGGGAAAAAATAAATCGGCCCTAAGAATAGATGATTGTTTATGACAAAGTTTATCAGGGTGTGGTGCTGACTTCTTGTCTATCTATCATGTGATAAGGGTTCAACTTTCCTGGTTGATAAAATTCTTATGGATCCCAATGTATGACAAGTGAATTCTTTCTGGAGTATGTGGCTTTAGGTAGATAAGTGGAGTTCAGACAAAGTCTCTCCCTGTGTGTGCTATATTTTCAGTGCTTTGAGCTCAAAGTAATCCGTGTACCAAAGTGGCATATTTTGGGGTGCCATTTCCTAAACTCCTTCAAGATTCTGGCATATAGTAAACAATTTAACAAGTAGTAGTTTCTATTCTCCATGGACACTCAGCTTTAATATCTAAATCACCTTCGCATTTTCCTTATTTAACTCTACCCCACCTACCCAACCAATATCATCATTTCTAAAGTCTATTTTCTGCCACAGCTTTTCCGTTGGTGCCTTTCTTATCCTTTTCACTGCTACCACTGAGCTACTCCCTGTTACTTCACACAAAGAGTATTTTAATTATTTGTTAGGTAGTCTGCCTGTAGACACACTGTGTCTTGAAAGACTAACCTTCTAAAAGATTATTGGCTGTGTCCAGAGCCAACTTCATGGGTATACAACCTATGCAGTCACATAAGCCTCCACACTAATAAGAGCCCATGCTTTGTTCAATGTTCTGCTGTTCCCTGCTTATAATTTTTAATTAATGAACAAGAGTCACCACTTTTATTTTGCACTGAGCTCTTCAAATGATGTAGACAGCATAGCCACGCCACTTCCTTGTTTGGAATATTTACAGCACATTTTCATTGTTTATTAAACTGATGATATTCATTCCAAACCAGCATTCAGGGTCTTACACATGGCTATAATAGGCTTCTCCTGACCTGTCAACTACGGCACAGTTCAGTAGATCTTTATTCTTTCATTTCTTTATCCATACAATAAATCTTTATTAAATGTTATCATGGGCTACAAAGATGTACATACTATACTTTTCCCTGCCTCTAAAACTTTATCTCATAAATATCTCCCCTACCTAATTGCTGCAGCCAACAGGATCAATATTCACCTCCTGTATGCCTCTCCCCAAATGTTCTGCCTTCTTGCATTTGATCCTCCATTCCTTCAGTTCACTCTTTCCCACATTTATATGCATGGCTTAGCATCTTCTCAGATTTCAAGTTTATAAATACTATGTTAGCAGAAAGACCATTCTTTTTTGTTATACTTTAAGTTTTAGGGTACATTTGCACAACGTGCAGGTTAGTTACATATGTATACATGTGACATGTTGGTGTGCTGCGCCCATTAACTCGTCATTTAGCATTAGGTATATCTCCTAGTGCTATCCCTCCCCCCTCCCCCGACCCCACAACAGTCCCCGGTGTGTGATGTTCCCCTTCCTGTGTCCATGTGTTCTCATTGTTCAATACCCACCTATGAGTGAGAACATGTGGTGTTTGGTTTTTTGTCCTTGAGACAGTTTGCTGAGAATGACGGTTTCCAGCTTCATCCATGTCCCTACAAAGGACATGAACTCATCATTTTTTATGGCTGCATAGTATTCCATGGTGTATATGTGCCACATTTTCTTAATCCAGTCTATCATTGTTGGACATTTGGGTTGGTTCCAAGTCTTTGCTATTGTAAATAGTGCCGCAATAAACATACATGTGCATGTGTCTTTATAGCAGCATGATTTATAATCCTTTGGGTATATATCCAGTAATGGGATGGCTGGGTCAAATGGTATTTCTAGTTCTAGATCCCTGAGGAATCACCACACTGAATTCCACAATGGTTGAACTAGTTTACAGTCCCACCAACAGTGTAAAAGTGTCCCTATTTCTCCACATCCTCTCCAGCACCTGTTGTTTCCTAACTTTTTAATGATTGCCATTCTAACTGGTGTGAGATGGTATCTCATTGTGGTTTTGATTTGCATTTATCTGATGGCCAGTGATGATGAGCATTTTTTCATGTGTCTTTTGGCTGCATAAATGTCTTCTTCTGAGAAGTGTCTGTTCATATCCTTCGCCCACTTTTTGATGGTGTTGTTTTTTTCTTGTAAATTTGTTTGAGTTCATTGTAGATTCTGGATATTAGCCCTTTGTCAGATGAGTAGATTGCAAAAATTTTCTCCCATTCTGTAGGTTGCCTGTTCATTCCAAAGGTACTTTCTTTTGCTGTGCAGAAGCTCTTTAGTTTAATTAGATCCCATTTGTCAATTTTGGCTTTTGTTGCCATTGCTTTTGGTGTTTTAGACATGAAGTCCTTGCCCATGCCTATGTCCTGAATGGTATTGCCTAGGTTTTCTTCTAGGGTTTTTATGGTTTTAGGTCTAACATGTAAGTCTTTAATCCATCTTGAATTAATTTTTGTATAAGGTGTAAGGAAGGGATCCATTTTCAGCTTTTTACATGTGGCTAGCCAGTTTTCCCAGCACCATTTATGAAATAGGGAATCCTTTCCCCATTGCTTGTTTTTGTCAGGTTTGTCAAAGATCAGATAGTTGTAGATATGCGGCATTATTTCTGAGGGCTCTGTTCTGTTCCATTGATCTAGATCTCTGTTTTGGTACCAGTACCATGCTGTTTTGGTTACTGTAGCCTTGTAATATAGTTTGAAGTCAGGTAGCGTGATGCCTCCAGCTTTGTTGTTTTGGCTTAGGATTGACTTAGCAATGCGGGCTCTTTTTTGGTTCCATACAAACTTTAAAGTAGTTTTTTTCCAATTCTGTGAAGAAGTCATTGGTAGCTTGATGGGGATGGCATTGAATCTATAAATTACCTTGGGCAGTATGGCCATTTTCATGATATTGATTCTTCCTACCCATGAGCATGGAATGTTCTTCCATTTCTTTGTATCCTCTTTTATTTCATTGAGCAGTGGTTTGTAGTTCTCCTTGAAGAGGTCCTTCACATCCCTTGTGAGTTGGATTGCTAGGTATTTTATTCTCTTTGAAGCAATTGTGAATGGGAGTTCACTGATGATTTGGCTCTCTGTTTCTCTGTTATTGGTGTATAAGAATGCTCGTGATTTTTGCACATTGATTTTGTATCCTGAGACTGCTGAAGTTGCCTCTCAGCTTAAGGAGATTTTGGGCTGAGATGATGGGGTTTTCTAAATATACAATCATGTCATCTGCAAACAGGGACAATTTGACTTCCTCTTTTCCTAATTGAATACCCTTTATTTCCTTCTCCTGCCTAATTGCCCTGGCCAGAACTTCCAAGACTATGTTGAATAGGAGTGGTGAGAGAGGGCATCCCTGTCTTGTGCCAGTTTTCAAAGGGAATGCTTCCAGTTTTTGCCCATTCAGGATGATATTGGCTGTGTGTTTGTCATAAATAGCTCTTATTATTTTGAGATACGTCCCATCAATACCTAGTTTATTAAGAGTTTTTAGCATGAAGCACTGTTGAATTTTGTCAAAGGCCTTTTCTGCATCTATTGAGATAATCATGTGGTTTTTGTCTTTGGTTTCCCTATGATGGATTACGTTTATTGATTTGCGTATCTCGAACCAGCCTTGCATCCCAAGGATGAAGCCCACTTGATCATGGTGGATAAGCTTTTTGATGTGCTGCTGGATTCAGTTTGCCAGTGTTTTATTGAGAATTTTTGCATCGATGTTCATCAGGGATATTGGTCCAAAATTCTCTTTTTTTTATTGTGTCTCTGCCAGGCTTTGGTATCAGGATGATGCTGGCCTCATAAAATGAGTGAGGGAGGATTCCCTCTTTTTCTGTTGATTGAAATATTTTCAGAAGGAATGGTACCAGCTCCTGTTTGTACCTTTGGTAGAATTCGCCTGTGAATCCATCTGGTCCTGGACTTTTTGTGGTTGGTAAGCTATTAATTATTGCCTCAATTTCAGAGCCTGTTATTGGAGAAAGACCATTCCTAACCCCTGTATATAAAGCTGGTGGTCCTTGTTATTCTATGTAGCACACTGTTTATTTACTTCTTAATAATATAACAAAAATTATCACAAAAATAATAAAGGCAAGGTTCTAGGTGCTTTCCATATGTTAGCACAGGTACTCCACAGAACTCCATGAGATCAGCACTATTCCTTCATGGCACTAGCATAATGTGCACTCATTTTGTGTTTATTCCCTTATTTGGTCACTTTACATATGGTGAGCTCAATAAGAGCAGTGACTATGTCATCTTGGTTCACTGTTGCATCCCCCCATAACTTAGTAATAAATCAATAACTTCTTATTAAAAAAAGATTGCCTACTCTGTACAGTGCCCTGATTTTTTATGTTGTGCATTTTCCAAGTGATAAACAAAACCTGGGTATTCTTCTCTTTCCTAACTATGTTTGTGGTTTACTAGTGCTTTTACTCATACTCTTCCCTCAGGCATTCCCTTCTGTTAAATTCCTACATCTAACAAAACTCATTTTGGATAGCATCTTCATAAATCTTCTTCCATTCCCTCTCCCGTCCCTCCCTGGTCCTTGCTTATCTCTCTTCTCTTCCTGAATTTTCTTGGCATATCGTATGTCTCTTATGATGCCTATACATTGCTTTCCATTATAACTATTTTTGTACTTTTCTTTAAATCAATGACAAAGAGCACACCTTGCTCATCTTTGTATTTAACACAGCATGAACTATAATGTTCTACCCATATTAGATACCTGATATATATTTATTATTACATATTTATTAATTATATTAAAATAATATAAATATTTCCACCAATATCTACATTTTGAAGAGACCTAGGAAGTCATCTCCAAATCTCAAATAATCCTAAATCATCATCATGCAACAATGTATCTAACTATATTCTAATTATACTATAATCTCCCTGAGAAGTAGAGATTTATGTGAATGTGATTGAGAAGTTTGCTTTTCTTTCTCTTTTCCATTTTGAAAAATCTGTACTGACATACCTTTTCTTTTTTTATTTTATTTTTTCCCCCAAGATGGAATCTTCCTGTTGCCCAGACTGGGGTGTAGTGGTGTGATCTCAGCTCACCGCAACCTCCACCTCCTGGGTTCAAGCAATTCTCCTGCCTCAGCCTCCCGAGTAGCTGGGACTACAGGTGTGCGCCATTATGCCGGGCTAATTTTTGTACTTTTAGTAGAGACAGAGTTTCATCATGTTGGCCAGGCTGGTCTCAAACTCCTGACCTCGTGATTTGTGTGCCTCAGCCTCCCAAAGTGCTGGGATTACAGGTGTGAGCCACCGCACCCAGCTGACATACCTTTCCTCAAGGGTTTCCAGAAACAAATTTAGTTACTAATATAAGAATAGCATATGAACCAGCAAGGCAGAGTGAATGAGCATGGAATTTCAAACCAGATATATCCAGGTTTGTAAACATCACCCAACAGTACCTGAGAAAAGTTTGGCACATTACGTTATCTATCCATTCTCAAGTTTTCACATCTAGACATATGAAGAACATACCTCAGGAAGCTGTTGTAAGGGTTAAAGGCAAAAATATAAACCAATATATTTGTCATTAGATATTAAATTTTTTAAATTAAAATATTTTAAAATATTGAAATATTGAGGCCTGCCATTATATTTATTTCCTCTCTTCTTCCTAAAAATGATAGTAAATTATTTTTTTAGTTGGAAACCCCCAAGAGCAAATAGAATGGGAGTAGAGTCATCAGCAGATTTGAAATTTCAAGACAGAAAGTAAGTAGAAAAGAAGTGACAGAAGCTGAGGAGAGGAAACCATGGGATAAAATCTTCAAAATATGCATAGAAGAGGATAAGGTCAAGGGAAGAATGAGCTTACCCTATGGATCCTTGAAGAAGCTCTAGATTCAGAATGGAAAGGGATGCTAGACTGAAATGGGGGGAATGAGCAACGGGCCAATCCCCTGCAAGTTGTGAAGAAAGATTTTGCTGACCTTTAAATCTCTTTAGCTGCCAAATCATCGATTCATTTCTCTCTTTGACTAAAGATATTTTGGGACACACAAGACTCTAACACTTCTTCTTTGGAAGTTACTTGAGAAAGCACCCAACAAAACTAGTAAGTGAAATACGAGAAGCCAACATAGGATTCTGGAAAGAAGAGGCAAACCAGAATAGCAGTGAAGGAAAGAACCAAGATGACAGCTGGCAGTGACCAGTCTGGACAAGAGGAAAGCAGCAGACTCTGGGAGGAAGATCTGCCAAAAAGGGACCAAGGAGATCATATGGTAAGACTGACAACTTGGAACAACTTGGGGATATAAAAAAGGCACAAAATAATAGAAGAAAACTCAATTATGAAAAATCAGGCATTATAAAATAAAACTATGTTTGAAATATAAAACCACAGTGAATCCAAATTTTGAAAGGAAATCAATGAATTTTAAGAAAAATGGAATGGATTTTAAGCAAGACCCAGAATGAACAAGCAGCTGAGAGCATTAAGTTTTAGTGGGGAAAAAAAAAAACAAAAACAAAAACCTTAGTTCTTTCCCTAATAAGAAATCAGCAGGAAAACCAGCACAGGGTTCCAGGGCAGTACAGACTGTAAAAGTAGACACAGTCTGAATATGGGGCAAATGCTAATGTGAAATGATTTGCAGAAGGAAAGAAAAACCCATTTGAACAACTGTCTTTGAGTGAAACAGAGTTATCAAACCCTAGAGAAAGAAAACAAATCCTAGCACACAGCTTGGCTCTCCAATGAGGAATACTCCACGGTCATAATATATAAATGTCAATTACCAGCCATCAACTTGAAGAAAAATATAGAAACATTAAATGTGATTACAGAACAGACAGCAAATGTTTTCAAACTTGCTAATTTAAAAATAAAACTGGAGTGACAGAAGTACGAGGCAGAAGGAGGGAAGAAAAAGGAAATAAACAGGTAGGGGCCCTAATTTTCTCACTTGATGAACTAAGGAGTCAAGAAATATTGGCTGTAGGTAATGAAACAACGTGTCAAGGTTATACAGGTTGACAACTGAGGAAATAAAATAGTATCATTAAGCAGGGGAGATAAACATGGGGGGATTAGAAAATGAGCCAAATCAGATGCATTGTTACAGGAAATGGATAATGTCTGGAGTTGATAAGAACATAACTAAACTGTATGGGTACTGGAGGAAATCAGCTAGAGCTATTGCCCCTGGGAACAGGCCTGGATAGGAATAGATGGGAATTGGTATATTCAGGAACATTTTTTTCATAATCAGCTCTTCTGTGGTATTTGAATTTTCATCCATGTGCTTGTATAACTTAGATAAAAGAATTAATATAAATTCATATTAGTAATGAAGACACTGAAATCTGCTGTGTGGAGCCAAAGTTTCTTAGTAACAAAACTGAAATGATTTATAAAATTGTTCATATTGTTGAACATAACAACACACAAGCCAATTTGTAAGTATTTCCAATTTTCTTTAGAAATGTATTATTTAAACATTACTGTTTCTGCCCTGGGAGTTTATAATCTGAATAAAATATAAAATGAAATTAATAGTCATAGTTCAGACAAGGAGGTTGTGTCTCAGGAGGTTCATGGTTTCTTGATTTTTTTTTTTCTACTGTTCAGTCTTGGTTTAACATCAGTCTTCAGTCTTTTTTTTTTTTTTTTTTTTTTTTTATGGGTTGTCACTGCAACAGACTCACAGAATAGCTATGCTTATAAAAGTACTAAAGGGAAGTTACCTGGTTACAAAAAGGAAAGTTAACTCTTTTAAACAAGTAATGTACAGAAAAGAATGCACAAAAGGGAGATTAAGAGACTCCAAAGGAATTTTCTGTTAGGTGTCTGGCATAAGCAAAAGTAAAGATGATTTCTGTTATCAAACTGAACAGAGAACCAAACCTAAGATTGTTTGAGAATTAAAAATTGAGTCTGACTGCTTTTCTTACCTCAGGTTTTATTTTCCTTTGTGGCTAAAGCTACTGAAGCAAAGAGACTTTAGAAGCTTAAAATCTGTTTCTCCTTAGTTACTTCATACAGATTTTTTTAAAATAAAACATTGGACTTTTTCCCAAAAGCACTTTTTCATTTATTTCTGTAGTAAAGCATTCTTTATGTAAAGCCATTATATTTTATAATACTCTGATTTCTGTACATACATACACAATTTAAGCCCTGAGACAAATATATAGTAAACTGGCGCTATACACATATGTTCACGTGGATTTACCTCAGTCATTTATTTATTTCTCTCCTTCCACCTCAGTAATTTAAACAAAAGCATTTAGAGTTCCAATTTTCATGGCATGTAAATCAGCCCTTCATTTCATGTGGTGCATATATTCCTACAACTAAAGTCAGAATCACAGTTGAATTTTAAAATCTATGATTTTTCTCACTAAGCGAAGTTGTCCCATTTTATCAGAGATAATTTGGCCATCTCTCTGGATTTGAACTTCCTTCCTAGTCTTTCTTAACAGAAACCATTCTATATAAGGATCTAGCCATTCAATTGGTATTATCAGCAGGTAAGATTGAGCAGGCTGGAGCTCCCACACAAACCGTGAGTAACTCATCAAAATGTAATCAGATGGACTTGTCCTTAACTACTGCTCATAAAATCTGCAAACTCTCATGATGTTCAATAATCTTATGCTTTTTGTTAGACATTCTTTTTTTAGTGTAGAGCTTTTTTGTTGACTGTGTTTACAAGGAATACAATTGCACTGAATGATAAAATGGTATCAACTTTTAGAAAAATCCCCAAAGTACATGTATGAGAAATGAATGGGAATTGACACCTGTCATCATAAATAGAAAAGTGTACCGGCAGAGGCTGAGCAATTATTTTAGTAAAATGGTGCCAAACTCTTATTCTTATGTGGGAATCATCACTTTAACATTTTATACATAGCATTTTATTCTAAATTGTATTTTCTATGTCAGCACAATTTGGGATTCTTAATTTTTATCTTAAGCAATTTTTCTTCATAGTATAGTATAGTGACTAGCAGGAAAATAATATCCATTTCATTTGAAGTTATCTATTCTTTTAATTAAGCATATCTACCTTAAATAGCATATCTTTGGCAAAGATATCTTTAGTTCAAGTCAGCTTAGCAAATGTTTATTCTGTAGTTACTGAAAATCAGAACTGTATTAAACATGGAAGTTACAAACATAAAAGCAAAGAAATGCAAGAAAGTTGTGAAATTTTTTTTCTCATACACTGATTGGTATTTAAGAGTGAAGACTTTCAGGAGAACAATTTGGGGGCTATGTCTTTGTGACCATAATACTGTTAGATCCAGCAATTCCACAAGTTCATCTTAAGATAAATGCACAAAGTATTCATTATACGGCACATTTATATTTCCCTTTTAAATGCAAATGCCAACATACTATTTTTTATTTCACTCCTCTCTTCTCTTTGGGGTCATATATGTAACATGGCTGTAAAACAGAAATTTACTGAGGCGCAGAGTAGGTGAGAGGGTTAAGAGAGCCCCTCAGAGGATTGCTGGGGAGAAATTCTGAAACTCTCTGTAAAGAGAAAAAAAAGGTCACAGGAGAAAGTAGGAAAATAACACTATCATAAGAAAACAGAAAAAGATCCTCCCTCCCCCCATAACAGATGAGCTGTAGGATTCACAGTATATAAGGATCACATGGCTCTATGGCTTCCATGTCTGCATTGCAGTGTGCAGGTTACTAAATTACATAAAATACAACAGCTCCAGAGATCACAGCATAAACATTAAAAAGAAATGCTGTAGTTTGCAGCAAATCCAAAAGACTCTCCCACAAATTCAAGCCTAGTAATCAAATTTTAAGAAAGGAGTTGGCATCTTTCTATATCTGCCAGAGAGCAGTTTCTTTTCATATTAGGTATAATACTATGAAACTTATAAAAGCACCTATCCATGTATTTCAGATATTCACAGGAATGTTGGGTGGGGTTCAGAAGAGTAATGGAAGAACAGCAGCAGGAGGGGCAATAAGAGGATCAGGGGATAGAAATAAGCCAATCTGAGAAGATGATTATGTTTGTCAAGACCCACAGGATTATATACTAACTAAAAAAGGTAGAGTTTACTATGTGTAAATTACACTTCAATGAACACCAGCGCCAGCATATGCCTCCCTGAAGTTCAAAGACAGGCACATGCCACCCACCACAGCCACCACTTGGGCACAAGAACACGTCCACCTGGCATCACCATCTCCAGAAAAACTTCACCACAGCCTCCACTGACAACAGGACCCTAAGCCACTCAGGAAACCACAGACACCACTGATGCTGTTTATAGCTAAAGAAATCATATGGAGACTACATAACTGCACGTATCCAGAATCAAAACCAAAGTACCCTGCCCAACTAACACCATCAATACATCCTCAGGAAAAAGTCCTCCCCTGTGAAAGCTAATTTTAAAAACTTGAAGAAGACACTGTTACACCAAATGCGAAATTATCAATGCAAGGGCATAAGCAACATGAACAAGCAAGGAAATATGACACCTCCAAAGAAGCATAATAATTCTATAGCAACAGCTTCCAATAAAAAAGGAGTTGAAATAGCTTTTGTTGAAAGCTTCAGCAAAACAGTAGATTAAGCAAAAGAAAGAATTTTACAACTTGAAAACACTTCTTTTGAAATAATCCAGTCATACAAAAATAAAAGAAAAAAATTTCAAAATAAGCAGTCTATATGACATATAGGACATCATAAATTACCAAATATTCAATTTTTGGTGTCCCAGAAGTTAAAGATAAAACAAAAAGGATAAAAAACCTATTTCACAAAATAATAGCAGATACAAGAAACTCAGAGAACTTCAAATGGATACAATTCAAAAAGGTCTTATCCATAGTATATTATAGCAAAACTCTCAAAAGACAGAGAGTTCTAAAAACAGCAAGAGAAAGTGTCTAGTCACTTACAAGGGAACCCCTATCAAACTAACAGTGGAGTTCCCAGCAGACACTTCATAAGCCTGGAGAAGGAAAAATAAATGCCAGTCAAGGATACAATATCCAGCAAAATTATCCTTCATAAGTGAAGGTGACATAACATGTTTCCTGGACAAACTGAAGCTGAAGGAATTCATCACCATTAGAACAGCCCAACAAATGTTTAAGGGAGTCCTACATACAAAAGCAAAAGGATGATATCTACCATCATGAAAACACATGAAAGTATAAAAATCATTGGTTGAGACAACACACAAATAAGGAAGAGAAGGATTTGAATGTTACCGCTATAGAAAACCATCAAAAAACAGTGACAAACATGAGAGAGAAAAAAAGGAAGAAAGAAGATACAAAACAACCAGAAATTAAATTACTAAAATGATAGAAATAAGCCCTCACATATCAATAATAATCTTGAATATGAGTGAATTAAACTTTTTATTTAAACGATATAGATTGGCTGAATGGATTTAAAAAATAGATTATATTTATATTTGCTCCCTACAACAAGTACCCCTTACTCATAAAGACACACAGACTGAGATCAAGGGATGAAAAAAGATATTCCATGCAAATGAAAACAAAAAAAGAGCAAAAGTAGCTATGCATATATTAGATAAAACAGTCTTTAGGTCATAAATTGTAAAAATAAACAAAGAAGGTAATTTTTAATATGTAATGATAAAGGGGTTAATTCAGCAAGAGGATATGATAATTCTAAACATATATGCAAACACCACCAGAGCACCTAGATATGTAAAATAAATATTATTAGACCTAAAAGGAAAGACAGACTCCAACACATTCTTTGAAAGTTTGGTAGAATTAAGCAATGAAGCCATCCAGTCCTGGACTTTTCTTCGTTTGGAGACTATTTACTACTAATTCAATCTCATTAATTATTATTGTTCTGTTCAGGTTTTCTTTTTTTTTTCCTGATTCAATCTTGTAGGGGATTTTAATGACCCACTCTCAGCATTAGATAGATCATCTAGATGAAAGATTAACAAAGAAACGTTGAATCTAAACTGCACATTAGGCCAAATGGACCTAAAAAACATTTAGAGAACATTTTATCCAACAATGACAGAATACACACTCTTCTCATTGCCACATGAAACACATGTTATGTCACATAATAAGTCTCAACAAATTTTCAAAAACTGAAATCTTATCAAGTACCTCAAGTATCTCAAACCACAATGGAATCAAACTATAAGTCAGTCAATTAAAAAGAGGAACTTCAGAAACTACAAATACATGAAAACATGCTCCTAACCACTGGATTAGGGAGGAAATTTAAAAATTTATTAAAAATAAATGAAAATAAAAACACAACATTACAAAAGCTTATAAGATACAACAAAAGCAGTGCTAACAGGGAAGTTTGGAACAATACAATAAATGCCAACATCGAAACGGTAGATTTCAAAGAAACAATCTAGCAATGTACTTCAATGAACTATAAAAGCAAAAACAAAACAAACCCAAAATTCATACAAATAAATAAATAATAAAGAGAAAAGCAGAACTAAACAAAGTAGAGATGGAAAAAAATACAAAGAATCAACAAAACAAAAATGTGATTTTTTGAAATGATAAACAAAATACATAAATTGCTAGCTAGACTAAAAAATGAAAAAATCCAAATAAACAAAATTAGAAATGAAGAAGGAGACTTAGAACTGATAACCACAGAAATAAAAAAGATCATCAGAGATATTTATGAACAGCTATAAACTAACAAACTGGAAAACCTAGAGGAAATGAATAAATTCATAGAAACATACAACCTTTAGAGGAAATATAAATAGTCCTGTAATTTTTAGGGCATCCATCAACCTGATGTTGTTACAACTCCTCTATCCCTCTGTAGTTTATCATTTTAAAAAATCACTCTTATTTTCTATTTTTCCTTCTTTGAGCCATAGTTACAATTTCTTCTTCACTTTCTTTTTCTAATAAAAGTATTATTCTTTTCATTCATCCCTCCCCATTACCCTTGGCAACTTATCCTATATAATAATAGAATATTTCAATTCTTTGAGGAAAGTTCATTGTAGATACCAAAGAGTTAAGAATGAAATGCCATTTGCTGTGTCAATTTGATCTGAAACACAAGGATAATGTTCCCAGCTGTGGCATCTGGGTCCTTGGAAATTTCATCAGACAGTGCCAGCCGTTATTGTAGAGTTCTGGGCTTGTCACGAGGATTAAGCTGTTCCACAGCTGTTTCTGCCACCTCGATGCAGTATAGTACAAGTTGAATTTCAATTTTCCTCTGAATAATACCTATTTTTCTCCCCATTTATATTTTGTTAAACTATCTAGGGGATTTGGTTTTAGATAGAGTCTGCATTCCAACACTTGCTTTCAGAGGGGTGAGAACATGCACCATATTTATACTTTTGATAGAATTTCAACATGAATATAATTTCCTTTGCAAAAAAGTAAAATGAAGTTTCTAGTGCTTTTGTTCTAAGCATTTTTGTTTATTTTGTTAAGCGCTTTATCAGCAGTATGAAAATGGACTAATACAGAAAATAGGTAACAAGAGAGTGGGGCATTGCTAAAAAGATACCCGAAAATGTGGAAGCAACTTTGGAACTGGGTAACAGGCAGAGGTTGAAACAGTTTGGAGGGCTCAGAAGAAGACAGGAAAATGTCTTTCAACCCAAGTGCAAGTATGACTTTTTAATAAAAGTAGTCACATGAAATCTAAAATGAGTGCATTCCTTTGTTAAACATTTTTTTAAATGCACAAGTTACTTAAGTAACTTTTCTAATCTGTTGTTACTGCCAGCACATAAAACAGAAAGTGTTTCTTGATAGAATATTTGGTGAGTGCTCTCTTTATCTCTCTCATGAATTCATTTGCTGACTCCAGTTGTTAAATTGCTAACTAACCATCAGCGTCAAAAGGATTGATCTAGTGTATTCATTCTCAACTTAATTCTAATGTTCTTTAAGCAGCCTCATTCCTTTTAAGAGCTGAAAATGAGACATACTATAGAATCACAGATTTTAAAACTGTGATGAAACTTAGAAATTATTTGGTGTTTCCATTTGTTTTACAGACAATCAAACTGAGAGCCAGTAAAATTAAATAATATGCCCAAAGTCATCACACAAATCATTAGTGGCAGCATCAAGCCCAGAATGCACTCCTTCTAAGTCCTAGCCTAGTACACTTCCTATAGTCCTACATTGTCTCACCCTAGCCTAAGTCCATAGTCCAAGATTCTTAGTTCTCTGCTGTCTGAAACCAACCTTTTACCTGGCCCACTCTCTCTTCCTATCTATTACTTTTTCAAGATGCTTATCTCACCAGACCTTTCTCTCCCTCTATTCTGTTTCTGCCTCTTAGTTTCCAGTTCTCCTAAGTGATTCCAAGAGAACTCTACAGACACAGTGGGCTACCTTTAACCTTCTATGGAGAGTGATTTCCTGTCATTAAAAAGCTGAAACAACAACAAACCGATGTCTATCTACTAATGATGAAAAAACACGCATATGGGAGCCAGAATATTCAGAAATCATGAGAAAACTCAGTTTATGACCCTATGCATCTTGAGATGTAGGACCTCTTAAAACAAAGAAGGATGCTACCTATGTAGAATTTCTCATATCATTCTGCATCTCACCCTAGAAATATGAATAATTTCTCACTGTATTCAGCACTCTCCCACCCTAAAAATGTTGTATATAAAGAATTTCCCATGGTATTCTGCATTCTACTCAGTCTTTTCTTTAAATATCAACTAGAGTCTTCTCTTTTAAACAGATTATTATTATCCATTGCCTATTCAATGGGTTTGACTAGTTCTATACTTCACTCACTTTCCTACTTAGATGTAGCACCTATAATTTCCATTTCTGCAGGCCTGTTAATTGAAATTTTTGCATTTGATTTGGAAGGTGATTAACTGTTTCATTAGGTAGCTGTTCTCAGAGAACAAGACAAAAATATTTCTCTGCAGATTAGGTGTTACTGAAGAAATAATTAGGTCAGAATCCATCAAAGTGTGGCACAGCCCCATAAACTGAACATGTGCATGCTGATAAATTCATTGTGTCAAGAGATCTGAGATCGAAAACATCCACACTCAGCTCCCTTAGGCATTTAGTTGTGAAGTACAGACTATGTACTTCTGTACAAGAGAAGAATATTTCTTGAGATGTTTATAAACAAGGTAGTTAGCAACCAAAAGGCAACCTGAAAAATAATCCTGCTGAAAATAGCAGAGTAATGTCTTTGACAATAAGACTGGTAAAGGAGAGGGCAAATACTGATAAAAGTAAAAATCTCCAAAAGTAAGTGCACAAAAAAGGTTTCCTATTGACTCCACTTTAAAGTGCACATAGTGTAAATTAAAGAAATAAGAAAGAAAATTTTGCACTTGGGTAAACAAGATTATGTTAATGGGTAAAAATAGTCAATATGTATTAAGGTTTAATCACATGGTATTGGATAAAAGTTAAACTTTGCATTATCCTTGTTTGCTTAAAGGTTGTAATCTAAATAATAGTGCCAAAAGCATAAATGTAAAAAAGTCAGCCTGATTTATGCAAGGAGTATTTTATATTAGCTTTTTTTACCTTACTATTTGAGAATATTTTCAAGTTATACTTACAGTGCCATTGAATTTTCTCAGGGAGTGTATGAAGGAAAATAGAGGACAGGTAAGAACAAATTATGCACTGATAAGGATGCCAAAATAAAAATGGACAGAAACTTAATGCATGATATGGCATCTTTCTTGTTAAGGCCTAACAAAATAAATCAAACACATCTAATGGTGCAGGTCTCAAGGCCATTTCAAACCTCTCTCCCACCTGAATCTCAATCATTAACCTAAAATTTAGCTAAATTTGAGCCCAGTATAGTAGAGTACTCATAAGCCTCTCTAGGCGTAAACCAGAAGAAGCCCAGTTTGGCCCATCGACCATCTCAGACTCCCAGATATCTTTGAAACATGGGTTCCTTCTGGACCAGATCTCCTCTTCGTAATTTAAAACAGAAAGAGCTTAATTTTCTGAAGGCAGAAAGGATGGAGCAATTTTTACCTTACAACGAGGTTTCTCTATAGAATAAGTTTCTACAAAAGATCTGTTCATCCATTTATTAAAATATCAAGAAAAAATTAATGACAATGGAATTCTGCAGCCTGAATATAAATAAACATATAGTTCCATTGTCTGTTATTGAATACAATTTTACTAGGGGTTTTAAAAATTGTGGTGAACATCTCATTCCAATCAATAAATTTGGATCTATCAGGTGACACTAAAGTGCAATGATCAGACAGCTGTGTCTTCACCTGCCAGCATGCAGGCTGTGTTTCATAAAATTCTCTAAAACTTTATGTGAAAACAAATGAGAAAATGATATAGGGAAGGCTGACCTAGAAACTGTTAAATAAATGCAAGGAACATGCTACTAAAACAAAAATGAGGGAAAAAAATGAAAAATATTTTATCTCAAGAAAGCCAAGATAAATCATTGTCATTGTTTTTTTCTCCTATGTAAAATAAGTGTTACATAAAATACCATTTTTGTTTTGATACTTATTGTTGGAGACTAGCTGCTACTACACTGACCTTTTGGAAATAATGTACAATCCATAGTTACATGTTTTTTTCTTTCTATCAAACTCAATCCTTTTCATACTAAACATTCATCCTATTTTATTTCATCTGACAGGCCTACTCACTGAATATGAAACACTCTCAGAATATGAAACACACGTTAAGACTTGAGTAATGGATCGTCTAGACAACAACTAATAACAGATCCGCTGAGTAATAGAAATGACCATCAGGCCAAAGTAGAAATATACCATAACTTCTAGTGAGTCATTGGGAGTTACATACATTTCCTAGCTAGTGTTTTTCACAAGTCATAAGACTACAGAAATACTTCCCTGTGATATGAACTGCATAAAATGAATTGTTTTGGTCTGAGAGTCAAAGCCATTTGCTTAGGTTGAGCAAGACTATCTCATGTGCCAAGGCTACAGTTTGTCCAACCATTTTCAGAAGCACATTTAAAGGCCCTAACGTCCCTATGGATTTTTCCCCTCCAGTGAATTAGATCCAAGTTAATGAGAACCATTAAATCTACTTTAGTTGAGTCTCTTAACTGAGTTTCTTCAAGTTTCTTTCTCAGATGCCTTTCGAGATTTTTTATTTGTTCCATCAGTCGCCCCGAATTAAAACCTTTGCTGCTCTATGAAATTCATGATAAAACAAAGATACCTGACAGTATTTGGAGGTTAAGTGAATATGATCTGCCACTGACCATGTACAGCATTGTATGAAAATGCAGTTTGATGCAATGTCTAAGCTGCTGTGACATTCAAGTTTTAAGTGATGCTCAGGGAGATGGAAGGATTGGCTCCACATATATCCCAATGTGCACTGGTCTTCTGTCTGTTAACTTACTAATGAACCATGATTTAGTAAAATAATGAAGAGTTTACAGAAAGCCCAAGGAAACCAAATTCCAATTTTGCAACCAGCAGGCTTTAACTTCACTGCAGCCTTTGCTAATTTTGTCTGGAGGTGGATTTGGATACTAAATGCCATCCCTGCCTTGTGATTCAGAGAGACTTTTCTAATCGCCATATATTTTGCCCAGTAATGCATGTCTCTTCATAAGACACATTTTATTTCTCCCTTTGGTTGTTATAAATAGGCTGAGTACCTAAAAATTGCTAAAATGGAAAATAAATTTTAACCACTTTGAAAATTAGAAGCATTGAAAAGCACCAATGTTATGTCTGTCCTATATGAGGCAAGAAACAAAATGTAAGAGAATGGTCTCCAATTGATTTATGACAAAATTAAGCAAAACTGTGTAAAACAATTATATATCATTTGTTTCTATGGTTTAAGTGAGATTATTTTAATGTAATTCAGTGTGCATAATTCACTCATTATAATTTTGAATTATAATAAGCTGCAGTCTAATGTTTTTTAAAATATCCTTTATATATACAACAAATTTAAACCTTTAAATTTGCACAAATTGGAGCTGCTAGCAGGCAAAAATGTGAAGCTGATAGTAACACTTTCATGTCACACAGGAGCCCCTAAAGTAAACTTCAGACACACTGGCATATGCTTGTGTGTCACTGACTAGTCAATTTGTTTAAAAAATATTTGTTTTTTACAAATACTGGTAAGTGTGAGTACATCCCTTTCTAATTCTAAGGAAATTGTCAATTTTTTACCTTTGGCTATTAGAGAAGCATCAAAGTATAATTTATTTCTATACAGACACCTTAAAATTGTGTTCTGCTTTAAGAATGAGTAGGGAAAACCCCTCTTAAATCTGCCTTTAATGATTCAAATAAGGAAATGTTCATAAAGAAAAAACAAGACACATTAATGCTGGTGTGGTAAACACATAGGTCAATATTCATCAGTAATCACCAGGCAGGTGAATGAAGCACATTTCCTTCAGATGAGGCTAAAAATCTTTTAACTGGAAGTCATAGTAAGGAATAAAACTAATTTCTCCTTTTATTCTCACTTCCATTAACTCCCACCTTTCAAAGTATCTGTAAATGATCTCTCATCATCGAGAGCCTCCTCTGGTTAAATATATCAAAGGAATGGGAGTCTGTCAATAGCTTTTCAAGATGTGAGTTGTGCTACTCAATTAGGAAAAAATAAAAAGAAGGAACAAAGCTTTTTCCTTTTTTTTCCATTTTAAAGGTGAAGAAAGTAAAACACATAATGCAGATGAAAATGACTCTAGACGTTCTGGCTCTAACGTTGTTATCAATGAAATCCTTTCCCACTTGTTCCAGCTGAGTGAAGACTGCAGGCCTCCTGTGGATAAAAATCTAAATGCTTCAATGGCACTGAAAGACCCATGTGCCCATCAGCATTAGCAAAGCTGGACATTTCTTTTGCATTTTCTTTGTTTGGGTAAGAGTCCTATTTTAAATTATAATATACAAGAAGGTAAGTTATGTAAACCTCAAAGCCTATGTATTGTAAATAACCTTTCACAAATTTTAAATTCTTTTTAGCTTTCACAGTTCCATGCTTGTCCGGAGTCCAGCTTAATAAATGCTGACATTCCTGGCTCAGTTTAATTAACAATGAGCAAGCTGTGTGAAAACGCAGTGGGAGCACTGAAGCAGGGCTATGTAGTGCTCCAAGCATGATACTGTCAATCAAGTACCTAAGTCCAGCCGGAAGCCAGCTTTCAAAGAAGCCCTGGGTGAGATATTCTGGCAAGCTCTCTGCTGGCATGGCATTTTCATTGAAAGTACTTTCCATTTCCTCAATACCAATAACTGCTTACACATTTCATAATAATCCTAATGTCTTAAATTTGGGAACCTCTCCAGAATTTACAAGTGCTTTTCATGAATTATCTCACAAGCCTAACACAAATATGCCTGCTTTTGACATAACATAGTACTGAGGCTGCAGAAAGAAAATGGAATTAACCAAAACCATAAAGCTAACATGAAACAGAGCCTAGATTTCAACCCAGTTTTCCAACTCCAAACACATAGCTCTTTCAATTTTACAACAGCTGTCTAGAAAGTTCAAGCACAGGTACACATGACTGTGACCATTACATATGAAGGTGGTAAGCCACAGTGCACACTGTAACCCTAGTAGCTCTAACCATGTTTTATCTTCTTGCACAAAAGTTAAGTGGCATCAAAAAAGTTATAAATGTTTATTGAAAGCAATCAAAAATAAGCTACAGTTTATGAATATAGCAAATTGTCTTGATATCACATAATAGTTTTTCTCATACGATGCAATATGAAACTCCAAATAGATGTCAATAAAAGGATTCCTATTCTTAATTTTTTTAAACTTGCTCACCTGTAATCAAAGATACAGCAAATACACCTTAGTTTTTCTTAAAAGAGGCAGACTGGATGCTAACAATTAATATCACTTATTAAAAAACATTATTGAAATCCAAAAAATGAGAGAATGATATCTAAATGAAAAGCCACCCTAAAAGAGGGCAATAGGCTAAAAAGTGATGTTATTCAACAATATTGCCTGATGAGGACAAGCTTAGTTCTCAACTCGAATATCATGTTTTTTTCCATCATTTAGCTCCATAAGACTGGATCTCCATCTTTTAACCTGTAACACATGGATAAGTAAAAAATAGATTCTGAACTAGATCAGTAATACAAATGGCAATGGAATTTGAGGAATTCTTTCATTTTTTTCTAGAAACAACAGGCACTTTGTGTGATTGGTGCTATTTTAGATTTCTTTGAATGTAGACAAGTAAACAGAGTTGAATTAAAGATGTAGTATTCAAAAATGCATTTAGCGATCATTTAATTAATATTTCCTATGCCAGACCAGAGGGATAATGAAAATGTATAAAACAGATTATTCTCACCTGAAGATACAAAGTCCTACATGATTCCCAAAGCTAAGCAGGGTTGTGTACATGGCAAGATACGGAGTAAAAGAAATAAATGGAAACTATCAACAGGATAAACAGACAACCTACAGAATGGGAGAAAATGTTTGCAAACTATGCATCTGACAAAGGTCTAATATACAGTATCCACAAGCAACATAAACAAATTTACAAGAAAAAACAACCCCATTAAAAAGTGGGCAAAGGACATGAACAGACATTTTTCAAAAGAAGACATATAAGCAGCCAACAATCATATGAAAAAAAACTGAACATCACTGATCATTAGAGAAATGCAAATCAAAGCCACAATGAGATACCATCTCACACCAGTCAGAATGACTATTATTAAAAAGTCAAAAAATAACAGATGCTGATGAGGTTGTGGAGAAAACGGAATGCTTATACACTGTTGGTGGGAGTGTAAATTAGTTCAACCATACTGAAAAGTAGTGTGGTGATTACCCAAAGACCTAAAAACAGAACTACCATTCAACCTAGCAATACCATTACTGAGCATATACCCATAGGAATATCAATTATCATTCTACCAAAAATATACATGCATGCATATGTTCATTGCAGCACTGTTCACAATAGCAAAGACATGGAATCAACCTAAATGCCCATCAGTGATAGACTAGGTAAAGAAAATGTAGTGCATATATACCATGGAATATTATACAGCCATAAAAAATGAGATCAGCCAGGTGTGGTGGCTCAAGCCTATAATCCCAGCATTTTGGGAGGCTGAGGCAGGGGGGATGACCTGAGGTTAGGAGATTGAGACCAGCCTGGCCAACATGAAGAAGCCCCATCTCTACTAAAAATACAGAATTAGCTGGGCATGGTGGTGCATGCCTGTAATCCCAGCTACTCAGGAGGGTGAGGCAGGAGAATCACTTGAACCCAGGAGGGGGCGGTTCTGTGAGCTGAGATCACTCCACTGCACTCTAGCCTGGGCAGCAAAAGTGAAACTCCGTCTCAAAAAAAAAAAAAAAAAAAAAGGATGAGATCATGTCCTTTTGCAGGGACACGGATGGAGCTG
The DNA here is from genome assembly GCF_000001405.40 of Homo sapiens. Taxonomy (NCBI): domain Eukaryota; kingdom Metazoa; phylum Chordata; class Mammalia; order Primates; family Hominidae; genus Homo; species Homo sapiens. The sequence continues at coordinate 60,948,084 of NC_000006.12, read as the reverse complement.
GAGGTCATTATCCTTAGCAAACTAACACAGAAACAGAAAAACAAATGCCACATGTTCTTACCTGTAAGTGAAAGCTAAATGATGAGAACACATGGACACATAGAAGGGAACAACAAACACTGGGACCTTTTGGAGGGTGGAGGGTGAGAGGACAGAGAGGACAGAAAAAATAACTAATGGGTACGAGGCTTAATATCTGGATGATAATCTGTACAACAAACCCCCACGACACAAGTTTATCTATGTAACAAACCTGCACTTGTACCCCTGAGCTTAAAATTTTAAAAAATGAGACAAAAATAAAAACATAAAAAGAAAGAAATGGTGAATGAAGACGTGGATCCCTTCCCTCCTGCTTTTCCTGCAACAGTTATGTAGAAGCTCAGTGCTTGTTTGAAGTAACAGCATCTTAAGTTACAGCGTGCCTCCACACATTTATGAGACAAACATGCCTCAGGCAAGCTATTAAAACCCATTCACTTCTACTTGAGTCAACTAAGGCACCAAAAATGCAAGTTCTTGCAAGAGGTTACATGATGATTCAGTCATGGAAACAGAACAGGATCACTGTTCTTTCTTAACTCAGAATGAAGATTCACTCCAAGATAATTATGCAAATACATGGTTATGAAAATCATTCAACAAATGCCCTCAAATATTCATACAAAACATATCTTTAATCTGTTGGAGAAAATAATTGAAATCATAATTAAAATGCATGCCATGTCAAGTGAAAGGTCAAGGAGCTGAGGTAGAGTGTATTTCTAGGTAAATTCCAAATATCACAAGAAAATAAAGTTTGTAAATGCAGGTTGACACAATCATTTGATCCAGTGAAATTAAACAGAGACAAAGATACACATATTCATCACTTTAGGTTTCCATTTTTTTCATATTAAGTTATTTTTATGTAATTTTGTAAAGAGTATATTTTGTACACAAATCCTCTCCTGCTAATTGAAAATGCATTTTGAAGGAAATGCATCAGTGAAACACTTTATTCATTTCCAGTAACAGATTCAATGACATTTGTAGAAATAGCTCTCCATTATCTACATTGTATTACTTGGTAAATTTAGCAGAAAGAAGGAGATGAAAAAATATGAAAACACAAAATGTGAAAATAATGAAACTTTAATGTAGCACAAAAACTGTGACAGATGTAAAGCCACAAAGAGTCATTAAATTTTTCCCAGTCCATCTCTTTTTATCTCTCTCATCCCTTCCCTATCAATTATTTCTGATGTTGTTCCTTTTTCCTGCTAGACTTTGGAAGTAATAATAACTTATGAAACTTGCTTGCTATCTCTCCACCTAAACTGATCTCTGGCACTACAAGTATGACCCCCAAATCATACAGTAGGGAATTTCTCTTAGAGAAGAAAATTATAGTAATTCTGTCAGAGATATTTTAGTCATTACAATAGCTATGGTGTTTATTCTCATATTCTTCAAAAACAGGCTAATTGTTTTCTTGCTACAGCTCAGGTAACTGAATCATCCTAAATTTGTCATTGTTCTTATGCTCACAACATATTGCAATAGGAGCTATACTGGTATTTTTAGCATGGATCAATTCATATGAAAAGAGCCATAAGCTGTGCTCATTTGTCATCATCAACTATAGATAACCACCTAAACACACTTTAAAACATTATGCTGGAATCTCCTAATGCTATCAGCTTTATTTAAAATAATAAGAAATATTCAGTCTCTAGGCCTCAATTTTTAATTGTGATAGCTGACAAAGGTGGTCATTTACTCATAACAATACTTATAGCTGTTAGCTTACACAGTATACAAAGAAGAATTATACCACAAGCCTCTATTTTTTTGAAGGTTCCCAATGTCACCATCCTACTTTAAAATATCTCAAATATGACTTCTAGTCTGGCAGAATCACAAGAAAAGTAGAGGAAGGGGCAGTAAAGATGGGTGGTGGGAAGTTACACGCTACTAAATAATGGTAATGCCCAAGTGTTTTCCTCTGTAGTAGCCGTGGGCCTGGGAAAGAGCAGAGATGGGTAGAAGATGAATACCTAAAAGGAGCAAGGAATGTAGATAAGGAATGTCAGAGCTTCCTTTATTTATATCCTTTCTTTGAACAAATCACTAATTGAAAAATGTACTTCCTATAAGAGTCAAGCCTGGCAACACTCCAAGGTTTAGGATCACCAGAGGAGGCAGAATAAAAAAGTAGCCGACAAAATGTGTCTTGGAATTGATCTCAGTTCTAGCAAACACCTGCTGTGACTTTAGGGACATTACTTAAATTCTCTCTGAGACTGTGCAGTGGAGTCATGCCTTACACAAAGGGGTTAGATTCTAAAATCAGAGGCAAAAATTCCTAATTGTAAAAATTACCCTAAGAAATCCCCACGCAATTTTCTCTTTTTTTTTTTTTTTCAATTTTTTTAGTAGTTATTGATCATTCTTGGGTGTTTCTCGGAGAGGGGGATTTGGCAGGGTCATAGGACAACAGTGGAGGGAAGGTCAGCAGATAAACATGTGAACAAAGGTCTCTGGTTTTCCTAGGCAGAAGGCCCTGCCACCTTCCGCAATGTTTGTGTCCCTGGGAACTTGTGATTAGGGAGTGGTGATGACTCTTAACCAGTATGCTGCCTTCAAGCATCTGTTTAACAAAGCACATCTTGCACTGCCTTTAATCTATTTAACCCTTAGTGGACTCAGCACATGTTTCAGAGAGCATGGGGTTGGGGGTAAGGTTATAGATTAACAGCATCCCAAGGCAGAAGAATTTTTCTTAGTACAGAACAAAATGGAGTCTCCTATGTCTGCTTCTTTCTACACAGACACAGTAACAATGTGATCTCTCTTTCTTTTCCCCACATTTCCCCCTTTTCTATTCGACAAAACCGCCATCATCATCATGGACCATTCTCAATGAGCTGTTGGGTACACCCCCCGAACGGGGCGGCTGGCCGGGCGGGGGCTGCCCCCCACCTCCTGGACGGGGCGGCTGCCGGGCAGAGACGCTCCTCACTTCCCAGACGGGGCGGCTGCCAGGCGGAGGGGCTCCTCACTTCTCAGACGGGGTGGCCGTTCAGAGATGCTCCTCACTTCCCAGACGGGGTGGCGGCGGGGCAGAGACACTCCTCAGTTCCCAACAGGGTCGCAGCCAGGCAGAGGCGCTCTTCACATCTCAGACGGGGCGGCGGGGCAGAGGCGCTCCCCACATCCCAGACGATGGGCAGCCAGGCAGAGACACTCCTCACTTCCTAGATGGGATGAGGCCGGGAAGAGGCGCTCCTCACTTCCCAGACTGGGCGGCCAGGCAGAGGGGCTCCTCACATCCCAGATGATGGGCGGCCAGGCAGAGACGCTCCTCACTTCCTAGACGGGGTGGCAGCCAGGCAGAGGCTGCAATCTCGGCACTTTGGGAGGCCAAGGCAGGCAGCTGGGAGGTGGAAGTTGTAGCCAGCCGAGATCATGCCACTGCACTCCAGCCTGGGCAACATTGAGCACTGAGTGAGCAAGACTCCATCTGCAATCCCGGCACCTCAGGAGGCCGAGGCTGGCAGATCACTCGCGCTCAGGAGCTGGAGACCAGGCTGGCCAACACGGGGAAACCCCGTCTCCACCAAAAAATACGAAAACCAGTCAGGCGTCGCGGCACGCGCCTGCAATTCCAGGCACTCGGCAGGCTGAGGCAGGAGAATCAGGCAGGGAGGTTGCAGTGAGTCGAGATGGCGGCAGTACAGTCCAGCCTCGGCTGGGCATCAGAGGGAGACCGTGCGGAGGAGGGGGAGGGGGAGGGGGAGAGGGCAATTTTCTCTTTCATGCTTCATAAATTATTTCTTTATATTCCTCCTCAAAGATTGACAAAACATTCCTGGTACATAAAATATCATTTCACATTTTGTCAGTGGTCGGCAATTCCTAAAATTATTATTCACACCTGCTTTTTGTGCCATTCACCAAAATGTCCTGTTTCAGATGCTTTTGAGGGATATATAAATTTCAACTTACACAATTTCATACAGAAAAATCCTGCCACCCTTACCACCGTTTTTCCCCATATAAGGCCATAGACTTCAATTTATTCCTTAATAGAGGCACTTTGGTTGCAAATAGCAGAAACTCACACAAGATAGCTTAAGCTACAAAGAAATTTGTTGTAAGCATACAAGAAAAGCTCATAGAACTCATGAATACTTGGGTCTCCTGAGGGACTGCAATCAGCAGCTGCAAAGTGTCAGGAAATAAAATTACTCTCTTTTCCTTTTGGGGACTCATGAAATTCATGCTTGCTTTTCTTTGTGTAATCTGTCTAGTCCTTCTCTCTTTGAAAATTAGGTATCCTTTTTTCTAAGATTTTGGAAGAGGGTTACCCAAAAATGAAAAGTCAGCCATTGAAATTGCAACAGATTACTGGTTCAAAAACTCACTTTCTAAGTAATAGAGAAAAGGGTCTTACTGAATGAATCTCAGTCTAGCTCTGGCCCAAGCAACAATGGTCAGGGTTTAAAGGGTGGGGACCATGTGATACAGAAAAGGATGGTAGGTGAGGCAGACACTGCCAAATATCTATAATATGGTTCCTTTAAAATACAGTCAACAGCAGATACTTTCATGTGGAGTAGGTAGGAATACCTGGAAGACCTTCTCTGGGATTAATTACCTAAGAAGAGGTAAAGCAGATGATCTCAAGAGAAACATTGTAAGGCATTGTAGAAATAAAGGGATTAGGATTTTAGTTTTGTGATTTCTAAATGATCATCCAAGGTGCTATATATAGCCCAAATGTCTGAGTCACCATAAAAATTCATATGTCAAAACATAATCACTAATGTGATAGTATTAGGAGGTGGGGCTTATAGAAAGTGATTAGATCATAAAGCTAGAGCCCTCATGAATGGGATTAGTGCCATAATAAGAGGCCCCAGAGAGCTGCCTTGCCTCTTCACCATGTGACAACACAGAATGAAGGTATCATCCATGAACAAAAAAGTGGGCCCTCACAACACACTGAATCTGCACCTTGATCTTGTACTTCCCAGGCTTCAAAACTGTGAGAAATAAATTTCTGTTGTTTATAAGCCACCTAGTAAATGGTATTCTATTATAGCAGCCAGAACAGACTAAACACAAAGGCAATTAAATTCTTGCATCTATATGTAACATATCAAAACATCAGAGACAAAAAAATATTTTCTAAATTACCTAAATCACTTCTTGAGAAACTTCCTTTGAGGTGTTGTTCAAATATAGCCTGGTTTTGTTTATGCTTACATAACTTGGTATACTTTTTTGCTAATGACAATATTGGTTTTAAAACCCAAAGTAGTCAATCAGAAATAATAGCCTGTTTCTGAAACAAAATATGAATCTTTAAAAACCCCAAATGTATAATACTAAGTTGTCTATCATGTCTACAGAAAAATATTCCATTTTTGATAAATAGTCATGAGAATGTAAGACTGTACTTTTGGGGGATTTATGACAAGTTTTTACCATGTGAATGGGCTGCTGAATGTCTACAAATTACATTTTCATATAAATTGCATTTTTCAAAAAATATCACGATTTATCCCATTTAAACAAATTGAGAAAACACTAGGATATTCAACATATGCATTAGGTTTATTCCCTCCAGTCACTAACTTTGTAGAATTTCCTACCACAGTTAATATTTTCCCAAGGATAAACTATTTTTGAATATAACAAAAAACATATAATATGCCATAACACTTTCATAGTCCATGGCTATGAAAAGTGAAGAGAATGTTCTAAATGTTTCAGTAGGTTGGACAATATTTTATTGATATTTATAACAATGTTTTACTGGTAAATTTTAAAATAATGTTTTCTCCTAAAATTGTATAATTACCTCTGAGAATCTGTTAGTTTCATAGAATATGCATTATGTTTATATAATTAGCGTAATTCTCAATGGAAATTTTTTATTCTTTTATTTCTGTCTGTGATGACAACTGGACAAATATTACAAACATCTGGAAGACTTCCTAATAAAAGCAGTTGCTGCAATTATTTATGGTTTATTATGTGTCATTCACTTTGCTAAGTTCTTTATATTTATGAAGCCATTTCCTCCTCCCAATAATTATATAAAGTAAATAGCACTATTATCCCCATTCTAAAGATGAGAAACTTGGAGAACTTAAGTACATTAATCGTGGCTTATGGCTAACAATTGGTATAGCCAGGATCTGCTCCAACTATCTAGGACTAAAGCCTATGTATTCATGAACTACACAATAGGTTTGTAGACCTAGAAATGGATTTTAGTAAGATAAATAATTGTCGTTGGGTTAAATGAACCCAGAAATAATACTCTTGGTGTTATTTGCCAGGTGGCCCCCTTTTTTCAATAAAGTTAGAAGGATTTTATGGTGAAGCATGGAGTTTATAGAGATAGATCTAAGGCAAAGTGGCTTTTTGATAAATGAGAATTAGTCATCAGATTATCCTTTCCCTTAAAGTTGTATTTTCAGCCTTCTTTTCTAGAACCTAGAATCTGCTTCTCCAAGTAAATAAACTTGTCAGGCTCTGGATCTGATCTCTGCAAATTAAAAAATAGGAAAATATTAGTTCTGATAGAAGCCAATCAAGGCAAATCTTTGCTGCCTCCACTCTCCCCTTCATTAAGCAGGAGGACACACTAACAATACTTCTGACTGAGACACCCACATGCCATGGAATCCAACTCAAACAGCAAACATAGAAAAACTTCAAAGCTTCTGTTTTAGCTTGCAATATGTTATATATTTTGTGGTAAATTTAAGATAATTTTCAGCAGAAATATTAACTGTATATATTTGTGGCTATCAATTCAGTTCCTGGATGGGCAACAAGCACTTTCAACTTAAAATATATTTTTGTAATTCCTAGATTTTTTCCTAAAGCTTGACATTCTTAGAATATCTCTATTTTAATAAAATATTTGAGTCTTAATGAAGCAGTTAGAATGACCTCTTCTTAAGCTCAGACAAAATATTCATACCATATTGTCAACTGACCTAGTTATCATCTTCTTATCCTTCAAAGACTAATTTCCTGACAATTTGGATTAAATTTCTATTGCATAATTACCAAGAACCTCAGGAATCTCTATACCCTTTGCCATCTTAATCAGACCTTTAATTTTGCTTAATCACTTACTGGTCCACAAGGATTTGAGATATGGGATGTCTGCCCTATATTCCTATAACTTTTGTAATTTCTTTCCTTATTACACCAATGAGTGATTTGTTGTATTTAGAACATTTATGTCTCTGTATTTTTATGATGCTATAGAACTTTTGAGTTTCTCGATATAATATGGGTATCAATGACAAACATCAGAGACACTGAAAACACAGAGGATAGCTGGTCTGAGTCTCCTGCACCAAGCCATAGCTGAAATTATTCATTCATGAATCTCTTGTTGTTCTTTAAACAAATACATATTCATTCAGGCACAATGAAGGAAACCAGAAAAACATGAAATCGAAGAATATAGAATAGTAGAGTGAATTTTTTTTAATATTTATTTTTGCAGTAGTTTCCTAACTAGGTGTCCTACAGCCATTCTTGCTTTCCTACAAACTCGTCTCTACACAGAAGAGTGGCCTTTTTAAAACATAAATCTGATCATGCTGTCTCCCCTGTCAGGTACATGGGAAGATACTAATCAATGGGCAAAAAGTTTCAGTTAAGTAAGCTGAATAAGCTCTAGAGAGATCTGCTGTACAACACCATACCAATAGTCAACAACAATGTCTTAAACACTTAAAAGTTTGTTAAGAGGATAGATCTGATATTAAGTGTTATTACCACAATAAAATAAAATAAAAATACCTTTAAAAATAAATAAAACTCTGAGAAATTAGAAAATAACAGTAACAATGAAAACAGGTTTATGGCTGTGGGCATACTGCGTACCAGCATGAGGCGCAAACATTGTAACTGGAGCTACCTGTGTATTCAAACACTTCACTGCAGAGTATTTTACTTTACTTTAGAGTAAAATAATGAACAATCCAATTAATCAAATGATTAATCAAAATAAAACAAATCTGATCACATGATACTTCTGCTGAAAGTATTCAATAGTTTCCTATGACTCTCTGGCAAGACTAAATTTTTAAAAGGCATATAAACTCTAATATAATCTGATTCTTACCTACCCTTCCAGTCTTACTGTGATACTTCTAATTATTCCAATCTCACAGTTCCTTTGACATGCCATGCCCCCTCTCACCACAGGATGTTTGCGCATATGCCCGTGGTATGGAATGCTCTCCACTCGCTCCATTTTGCTAATTTCCATTCATCTCTCAAATTCCCATACAGATATTGCCTCTTCAGGGAAACTCTCCCTGAATGCTTCTCTTCAACTAGGCTGAGTAACCAATTACAAGCACTAACGTTTTCTGGAATAGGTCTTTTATCACTCAAAATTGTAATGTGTAATGTTTTGTGACTACTTAATATCTGACCCTCCATACTGGCATGTAAGCTCCAAGAGGGCACAAAGCAAGTCTGTTTTTGTTTGTAATTTTCCCCCATCACCTAGCAAATGTCCTGGAAAATGAAATACTCTTGTTTGTTGAATGAATTAATAAATGTCTGTGGATTAGTCTTTTCTAAAACACAGGCTAGTAAAATCACTGTTTCTTGTATTCAACATTTAACAAGCCAATATCTAGAACACTATAGCCTCAACAATTCATTTTCATCATTCAACTAAGGAGAAATAAGACTTTTCAAGCTATTGACCATAGTGTTTGAGTTTCTTCACATTATTATTTTTCACTTTGCCATAATTGAGGATTAAAATTAAGAAAGAAACATAATATTTCAAGACACCTTGGAGAGGCAGGTAAGTTAAAGGGTGGGAAGCAGTCACTGCCCAAGTATATCTACAGACAGACAATAAAGAAGTCAGCCACTAGTTTGTAGGAGAGCAATCCATGACTATAAGAACCAAATCATAAGGCCTCAGAACTGGATAATATGTAATGGAGAAGAGATGTGATATAGAACAGGTAGAATCAGGAAGAGAGCTGTAGTTTTACATGGGAACTCAGTAATTGCCTCTCTATATCAGATTCTGGGTCAGATTATCTGACAAAGGGATCCTGGGATCAATATACAAACTAAAGGATCAATTCTAGGTCAAAACAAAATTTTTTATAATGATGAAAGATATAAGTTCCTTAATGTGAGAAAAAACTCACAATTTTGGTGGAGTGTTTTTTATAGCTTCCAGAACATGCCAATATATATTTAATCTATGTATTGATGAGGAAAAATATCCATTTTAACCTTCTCATCTCAAATAATATCCTCAGAACAGAATATAGTGACCTAGCAGACAAGCTCTAGATTTTGGAAAACATTCAAAGTTGTGGACAGACAACAAATGCCTTATCTAAAATTTATAAAAATTTAAATATACTATTCCAGACAACCTCAAATCTATACAAAGTCTGCAAGTTTCATTTTTAATTGTATTTTTTAACATTCTAGTTCACATGCCAAACTGCCCCCAAATTTGCCACCTTAGATTTTCTATGTTCTTAGTAAAGAATGTTGCTAATTCCTGAAAAGCACTGTTGTTAGTAATTTTGATCATGTTATTTATCCATTAAACATCCTGGTGACACTTGTGTAGTGGGCTGAATAATGGGTTCCCAAAAGATATCTGCATTCTAATTCCTAGCACCTATGAGCACTACTTTATATGACAAAAAATAAACAGGTCTTTACCAATGTGATCAAGTTAAGGATCTTGAGATAAGGAGATAATCTGAGATTATCTAGGGTGGGCCCTGAATACAATCACATGTATCCTCATAAGACTGAGGCAGAGGAAGATTTTATAACAGATAAAAGAGGAGATGGCAATGTGACTATGGAAGCACACACTACAGTGATGGGACCATAAGACAAGAAATCTCGGTAGCTACCAGAAGCTGGAAGAGGTAAGATATAAACTCTGCTGAAGCTTCTAAAGGAAGCACAGCCTTGATTTGGCCTTGTGACTCTGATTTCTGACTTTTGCCTCCAGAACTGTGATAGAATAAATTACCCCAAATTTGTGATCGTTTGTTTTAACAGTCACAGAAAACTAATACAACTTGTTAAAATTGTGATTCTTACTCATAAGGTAAGAATCAACCCAGTTGCACTTAGGCCTCCATTTTGTCAACTACAAAGGAAAAGTGCCGTCCCTTTTAGCCAGTTGAGTCAGCTTCCTCAGAAAATGAAGCCAGGATACTCAAGAAATCTTTGTACATTTTTTTATATTTTAGTAATAAATATAATTAGACAATGACAGTCCTAGGACCCCCAGTGAATGCCTAAAACTGCTGATAGTACTGAACTCAATATACATACTGTGTTTTTTCTATACACACACGGTAGCATGCACTTTTGTAGTTTGAGGCGCAGCAGCAAAACTAGCATGAATTTCTTTTTCATTTTTCACAATTTCGTGGATGAAAGATTTACTTTTGCCATAGATCTTAGTGATTTCAGCATATATTCTTTCTCCTTATTAACTCAAAACTTCCACCTTTTCACTTAAAGAAAGCTTTTTATGGCTTCTCTTTGCCATAGCTGAATTGCCAGCATCACTACTCTTGTGTGTTGGTACCATTATTCAGTAAAATATGGGTTACCACAATAAATAGCCACAATAAATAAAACAAGGGTCAAGTCACCACAGGCACTGTGATACAGTGACAGTCAATCTGATAACCAAAGCAGCTAGTAAGTGTCTAAGGGACCAGGAGCATATATGGCATGGACACACTGGAAAAAAGAATAATTCATGTCTCAGGTAGGAAGGACTGATACAGCACAAGATTTAGTCACACACTCAGAATAATGCATAATTCAAAATTTCTGAATTTCTAGAATTTTCCATTTAATATTTTCAGAATGCAGCTTACTGTGGGGGACTGAAACAGCAGAAAGCAAAACCATGCATAAGAGGGGGCTACTGTAATCATAATTATTTGATGGCTAAAACTACAGGTGCAACCCCTTAAGAAAGTATTGATACACTCTAATTTGAAGCAAACTATTCTTCAAATTGTCTAATAGTTCGTTGTAACACAACATGCTCATCAGAGCACTAAAAGCCACAACTGCCAATACTATAAACTGATTTTAAGTCTTTCCACAAACATTTCATGAACCAACATTAGGATTAAATAAACTAATTAAAGATAAGTCTCCTGACTTCACTTCAAAGTAGCAGAATTGAGAGGGATGGTCCTGTGAGGCACCAGCTTACTGAGAAAAACGGCAGCTGAAGATAGGCATAATGAAAGGCTTAGCCCTCTTCACAGACTGATGCTGCTGGTGCTGCATTATATCCATCATGTACCTATGATGACTTCAGATTCAACCCTATCCTTGTCCTCAGGACAGGAAAAATGATCCAGAGAGTCTTGAGCATCGCATTCACTGAAAGGTGGACTCATCAGTGGAAATAAAACCTGCACCGAAAGGCATTTTCCCTGGGCCTACTGTTGAACAAAGGGGAATCAACAAATTGGTATCACCTCTTTATTTGCTGATTTTATTACACAAGACAAATAGGGCTGTCTTCTTTAAATTGCCTGACATAAAGTTGCTCGATTTGATTGAAATATAATGATGTCCTAAGAAAGATTATGATAAATTGGTCCAGAAACCTATCTGTAATGCCAAAATATCTCACCACCTGAGGCATTTTAGTTGTCTCCAGGACTGGCTCCAACATCACATCTCCTTCTCTTCATTATTTTTACTTTGACATACTACTGCTCAAAGTGATAGTTACCATGCATCATATTTTCTAAATTTGCATGATAGCTAACACATGCCTCAACTCAATAGATAAGCAGTGACTATTAAGGTAATTCACAAGTGCTATACATACTTTTCACCACTAGGAGGAAGTTGAAAAAAAGGCTTGGAAAGGTAGGGATGATGTGTGTCTGCGAGTGCAGAGAATCCAACATCTGACACAGTTCTTCCTAATACATAACATTTCAGATAAAACACAGTATAATTGACAGAAAAAATCACTTCTTCTTGGTCTCTTCTGCTTCCCCTTTGAACTCTTGGATCTAGTTATTCTGATAGATGACTCCTATCAAGTTTCATTTTTTGCTCCTTCACGTTAAAGTGATAGCCAGGCTATAGCAACAGTGAAAATTACAACTTGAATTACTTCCAAGGTATCAGACGGGAAAAAAAAATTCTTCAAAGCAGCTGAAAACTCTTCTTCAAAGTTTATTAGCACTAAGGCAAGGACATTTTACTGATTACCTGTTCATCCAAATATTCCACTTGTTTAGAAAGGCAATAATAAAACCATTCTTGAACTTGAGAAATATTTCCAAGGAGAAACATCATAACTGACTGTTATTCTTTCTTATCAAGAATGTAAAATATATGAGAGTTTATTTACAGGGTTATTACTAGTATCTGTACATGACCGTCTACATTCAGGTTTAGTGACTTAATAAGGAATTATTTTAAGTTTAACTGCTACAGGTCTAACAGCTGTGGATCTGCTAAATCTTGTTGGAAATTCTAGCAGAAGAAAATCTTAACTCATATACTCATGTGGTAAAGAAAAGAAGGTCTTCTTCTATAAAAAAAAAAAAGGTAATCCTTTTTGATTGAGTGAACTGTTTCAGATAAGACAAACATGGTATAGAGAAGAAAGAAAGAGATACTCACTCCACCAATCAGATTAGTAGAAAAATAGAATCTGGTGACCCAGGAGGTGAGAGATGTCAGTTCATCTATCGTTTCTTAGCACTTGTAAACATGGTATGCCTGACAATTATGGTGATGAAAATTATATTTACCATTTATTCAGCGTTTAAAATGTGTCAGGGACTAGTGAATCAAAAGCATCAAAGGGAAGCACATGCCTTGACTAGAATCTGCTAATAATGGGTGTCTGGGGTGCTGATGATCAGAGAATGAGGAAGGGTAGAGCTTCCTACTGGCTGAGGAGGTCTAGCTGTGGAAAAGAGAAGGAAAACTGAAACTCGCATCTTCATTAGACTCAATATTAGGGATAAATAACAAAAGAAAACTAGAAAAACAAACTAAAGTGATGATAAAGAATTAAATTGCCTGGGAGAAGTTTCAGCTAAGGGAAAATCTATTTTCAGCCGTTCTGTCTCTATGTCAAAGATTACTTGCATAAAAAGCATCTGTACAGAACTATGGAAAGTAGGTATTAAGGAATACATGACAATGGAACAATCAGACAACTACTTCAGCTCAGATGCTTAGGGCTTGAATAACAGTGAAAAGATCCCAGTAAACTGAAAGGCCAGGTACATAAAAGTTCTTATGATCTGCTGCCAAGATCAGCTGCAATCCAACCCACCCTCTGCCTATACAAAGATATTTTGTAGCAGAATGAAAGTCTGAACACAGGTTTGAATGCCAACAAAAGGGCAGAAAGATGTATGTTTATCCTGGAAAAAAAAAGCTTATTAAGTTCTCCTTTATTCATTATGCCATCATTTACCCCTCGTGACCAGACTTTGGGGTCATTACAATCCTCATTTACAAAGGAAAAGTGTAAATGACAGGCCAAGGTCACCTAGGCAATACGTTGTCATCAGGATCTGAACCTAGATCTATGCTACTTTTGACCCTTCAGCAAGGATGCATGTTGAGTTTAAGTTCACCCTTCCTTGAGACATTACCACTGTAGTTTACACACGTAATGGTAGGAGATTTCACAAAAGTTGTAAATTATCTGTTCTACACTAGGTAAATACTGACATAGGTGTTGCAGTCTCAAATTGCTAGTAAGAGTTATATTTAAAATATTAATATATTTATAAGTTTTATATAAATTATAAATTATACTTATAATATAAATACATTAAATTATAAATTATACTTATAATATAAATACATTAAATTATAAATTATATTTATAATATAAATACATTAAATTATAAATTATACTTATAATATAAATACATTAAATTATAAATTATATTTATAATATAAATACATTAAATTATAAATTATATTTATAATATAAATACATTAAATTATAAATTATATTTATAATATAAATACATTAAATTATAAATTATATTTATAATATAAATAATATTTATAATATAAATACATTAAATTATAAATTATATTTATATTATAAATAATATTTATAATATAAATACATTAAATTATAAATAATATTTATAATATAAATACATTAAATTATAAGTTATATTTATAATATAAATACATTAAATTATAAGTTATATTTATAATATAAATACATTAAATTATAAATAATATTTATAATATAAATACATTAAATTATAAGTTATATTTATAATATAAATACATTAAATTATAAGTTATATTTATAATATAAATACATTAAATTATAAGTTATATTTATAATATAAATACATTAAATTATAAGTTATATTTATAATATAAATACATTAAATTATAAGTTATATTTATAATATAAATACATTAAATTATAAGTTATATTTATAATATAAATACATTAAATTATAAGTTATATTTATAATATAAATACATTAAATTATAAGTTATATTTATAATATAAATACATTAAATTATAAGTTATATTTATAATATAAATACATTAAATTATAAGTTATATTTATAATATAAATACATTAAATTATAAGTTATAAATATATACATTGAAAATATTAAGATCCTTTCAGTGACTTTGAGGTTGAAGGCTGAAGGCATTGCATTAGTAAGAATTTTTTACTTTGAAGTAATAAAAATCTCAATCAAATTTAAACCTAAACAAAACACTTGCAGGAGTGGCTCTGGCTTCACACAGTGGATCCAGGGACTCAAACGTCATTCAGATGCTCTCTTCCTCTATAGACTTTATCTCTGCTTCTTTCTCAGGCTAGATGTCACTGGGGTACTGGAAGTACCATCATACTGCTATTGATAAGAAAAAATTAAAAATTAAAATAACAGTTTTTTCTCAAGTTTGATTTGGATGTTATCACCACCTTTTGAATAATACAATCATTTGTGAGCTGAAAGGAGGCACTATGATTGGCCTGCCCTGTTCAGTCGCAGCCGAGAGTGAAATCAGTGACCCAAACAGCATATTCATGACCACCTGGGAAGTTATTGCAAGCAAGGCAACCACACCAAGTTATGTCTACTACAAACACTTTTAATAATAGCTTTTTAATAATAGCTTTACTTTATAAATATATACCAGACATGCTTATAAGGGTTCAGAGACCAGGTCTAAGTAAACAGATTTAGACTTCATTTGGAAGGACAGCAAGTGTTGATTAAAGAAAGTAGTAACTTAGTCTTTGAAACAGTTGTTTGAAAGATGTCTTTTGTAAAGCTACTTTGGTGAAAATAAAAGATGATTACACTAGTGGGAATATTTGGGATACTGTATATTTGCAAGTTTAAAGGAAAATTTGCTGGGCAATTATTAATTCAGCTTATGCGTTTGTCACAGTTTTCATCTGTTTTAAATTAAGGAATGTAGGATTAACAGGTTGATATAACAAACAGCTGACACACAACCACATGTGTACAATGTTGTCATATAAAGGTGCCACTGGTGGAAAACTATCTGAAAGAGCAAGTAATTCTCTGGAACCAATATATTCAGAAAACAGCTATCATACCTTGCATTGCAAAAGGATAAAGAAAATACTATAGTCAGTAGCCATTGAAAAGCATTTAAATGGGCAGGGTGTGGTGGCTCACGCCTAAAATCCCAGCACTTTGGGAGGCTGAGGTGGGCAGATCACGAGGTCAGGAGCTTGAGACCAGCCTGACCAACGTGGTGAAACCCCGTCTCTACTAAAAATACAAAAATTAGCTGGGCGTGGTGGCAAGTGCCTATAATCCCAGCTACTCAGGAGGCTGAGGCAGGAGAATCGCTTGAACCCGGGAGGCAGAGGTTGCAGTGAGCTGAGATTGCACCCCTGCACTCCAGCCTGGGCAACAGAGCAAGACTCCACCTCAAAAAAGAAAGAAAGGAAAGAAAGGAAAAAGAGAGGAATAAGTAAAGCATTTAAATAACACCTAAGTGGGTGCTAATCAACCATATTTTGAAGCTGTATGAAATCATAAAGGAACTGTTAAATGAAACTTTAATATAGTTAATGCTAACATTCCACAAACTGCTAGATTATATCTACATATTTTCTTTCCTTTCCTTTTTAAGAGACAGGGTCTCACTCTGTCATCCAAGCTGAAGTGCAATGGGTCAGTCATCATAGCTCACTGCAGCCTCGAACTCCTGCTCAACCCATCCTCTTGCCTCAACCTCCCAGGTAGCTGGGACTACAGGAGCACACCACCATGCCCAACTATGTATTTTCTTATTTAATCACCACAATCACCCTATGAGTTAGATCCCATTCTTCTTCTGCATTTTTGAGGCAACATAAGTGCAATGAGGCTAATTTGTTCAAGGTCACACTATTAGTAAGTAGCACAGCCAGGATTTGAAAATAGGCTACTTGACTCTAGAATCTACACTTTCAACACTAACCTTTAGAGAAATATATAATTAATAAAAATATAAGGCTATTGTAAAGTAAGAAAAAAATGTATTACCATTCTTTTTCCACAGGGTGAGAGAGTACTCAACTCTCACTCTGGGTTATGAAAAGAAAAAATCCTTGTTGAATCTGATATTCTAAGTGAATTCCTCTAGCCTGGACCAGCACACACTGAAAGTCTAAGCATCAGCCTAATTAGTCAATTAGATGACATACTTGTCTCTTCCTGAGATAAAAGAGGAGAATCATAATTCCAGTAACAGCTCTCTAAACCAGTAATTTATATGGTGATCAGCAGAATCTATTCTAGATGGCTTGGGTACTCCTGGCTTCCTTCAATGGTTGCACTTCCTTCCTCAAAGTAACCAGAATCCTTCACCTTCTTATCAACACATGCTCTCCTGAAAGTAATGGCAAATTCACACTAATGTGCAACCAAATAATAGGCTTCAGTTTCCACTTCAAAAACTTGAGTCGTATAAACAATTCCAAATAGAACAATCACACCCATGAGCTGGTAGGAGAAGCATCTGTTAGTTGGTAGGAAAGGAAAAATGAGGGTAAGGATATAGGGAAGTCAGAGGCCTTCATGATATCTCTGAAATCTATCTTCACAGCTGCTGTGAACTATACATGGTTCACTTCAATGGTGCAGCTACATGAAAGAACTCAAGCAAAGAATTAGGACTGAAATAATATTTTTGCAGATTTCCAAAAAGCATGTAAAAAGTCAAGGACTGAAATATTTGAATATGAACCTATGGTCACATATACACCAATAGAGGAGCCTTGCATTTAAGCACGCATTCAAGTATATTTGTTGAATGGAGGAATGAAGAAAATTCACTCTCAGAGATATATTACTACCAAGGCCATTGCTAAATAGCAAGTGAATGAAGGGTAACAACTGGCATCCACAATTTCCTAAGTTTCCCTGGCATACCCCGAGGTCTAGCAAGTAAATGTCAACCCCTCTGGAGGGTACAGTACCTTTCAGCAAAGCTCATTGAGATGGAATTCACTGAGGCTGTGACAAATGTGAGATTGTTTGGTTTTGTGTACATGTATAAAATGAATTAAATGGCCTTGTAATTACTTTCTATAGGTATGTAGGGGTGCTCTTTACTAAGCTCTTGCACTAGTGATATATACATACAGAGAAAGAGGATATCATTTTCTTGTATTTTACTTTATTGCGCTTTGAAGATACTGTGTCTTTTTAAAATTAAAGGTTGGTGACAATCCTGCATCAAGCAAGTCTATGGGCACCACTTTTCCAACAGCATGCACTCCCTTTGTGTGTCTGTGTCACATTTTGGTAATTCTCACAATATTTCAAACTTTTTCATCCTTTTAATATCTGTTATGGTGATCTGTGATCAGGGATCTTTGATATTACTCTTGCAATTGTTTTAGGATACCAAGAACTGCACCAATGTAAGACGGCAAACTTAATCAAAAAAGGCTGTGTGTCCTGACTGCTCCACCGACTGGGCAATCCCCCATCTCTCTTCCTCCCCTCGGCTTCCATATTTTTGAGACACAACAATATTAAAATTAGGTCAATTAATAACACTACCATGGCTTCTAAGTTTTCAAGCAAAAGGAGGAGACACATGTCTCTCACTTTAAATCAAAAGCTAGAAACAATTAAGCTTAGTAAGGAAGGCATGTCAAATGCCAAGACAGGCTGAAAGCTAGGCCTCTTGCACTAAATAGCTAGCCAAGTTGTGAATGCAAAGGAAAAAGTCTTGAAGGAACTTAAACGTGCTACTCCAGTGACCATAGGAATGATAAGAAAGTGAACAGCTTTACTGCAGATATGATAACAGTTTGAGTGGTCTGGGTGGAAGATCAAACCAGCCACAACATTCCCTTAAGCCAACACCTAATCCAGGGCAAGGCCCTAACTCTCTTTAATTCTATGAAGGCTGAGAGAGGTCAGGAAGCTACAGAAGAAAACTTTGAAGTTAGCAGAGGTTGGTTCATGTGGTTTAAAGAAAGAGCCATCTCCATAACATAAAAGTCCAAGGTGAAGCAGCAAGTGCTGATGGAGAAACTACAGCCAGTTATGCAAAAGATGTAGATAAGATGATTGATGAAGGAGGTCACACTAAACCACAGATTTACTATCTAGATGAACTGCCTTCTATTGGAAGAAGACACCATCTAGTACTTTCATAGCTAGAGAGGAGAAGTCATGACTGGCTTCAAAAAAACAGGCTGATTCCCTTTTTTTTAGGGGCTAATGCAGCTAGTGATTTTAAGTGGAAGTTAATGTTCATTTACCATTCTGAAAACCCTAGGGCCCTTAAGAATTATGCTAAATCTACTCTTCCTGCACTCTGTGAATGAAATAACAAAGCCTGGATGATAGCACATCTGTTTATAGCATAATTTAATTAAATATGTTAAACCAGACTAAAATATTTAATAATTTAATTAAATATTTTAAGCCACTGTTGGGGCCTACTGCTTAGAAAAAAAGATTTCCTTCAAAATATTTCTGCTTATTGACAATGCACCTAGTCACCCAAAAGCTCTGACGGAGATGTATAAGGAGATTAATGTTGTTTTCATTCCTGCTAACAAAATACCCCTGAAGCCATGGATCAAAGGGTAATTTTGACTTTCAAGTCTTATTATTTCAGAAATACATTTTGTAAGGCTATAGTTGCCATGGATAGTGATTCCTCTGATGGATCTCAGCAAAGTAAATTGAAAGCCGCTGGAAAGGATTCACCATCCTAGATGCCATTAAGAACATTTGTGATTCATAGGAGAAGAAGGTAAAAATATCAACATTAAAGAGTTTGGAAGAAATTGATTCCAACCTTCACAGATGACTTTGAAGAATCCAAGGCTTCAGTGGAGAAAAGAACTGCAAATGTGGTAGAAATAGCAAGAGAACTAGAATTAAAAGTGGAGTCTGAAGAGGTTACTGAATTGCTATAAACTCATGATAGAGTTTGAAGGGATGAGCAAGTTGCTTCTTATGGGTAAGCAAAAAAAGAGTTCCTTAAAATGAAAACTACTGCTGTAAATATGCTACGAACATTGCCAAAATGACAACAAAGCATTTAGAATGGCACATAAACTTAGTTTATAAGTAGTGACAAGGTCTGAGAGGATTGACTCCACTTTGAAAGAAGTTCTACATGAGGTATCAAACATCTCATGCAACAGCGAAACTTTTCATGAAACGAAAAGTCAATCAATGCAGGAAACTTCATTGTCTTATTTCAGAAACTGCCACAGCCACTTCAACTTTTCACAACCACCACCTTGATCAACCAGCAGCCATCAACATTGAGGGAAGACTCTCCACCAGCAAAAAGATTACAATTCACTGAAGGTTCAGATGATTATCAACATTTTTTGCAATAAAGTCTTTTCAGTTAAGGTATGTACATTTTAATTTTAGACATAATCATATTGCATACTTAATATACTACAGTAGAGTGGAAACATAACTTTTATATCCATTGAGAAACCAAAAATTTAGGTGACTCATTTTATTGCAGTGGTCTGGAACAAAATCTGCGTTATCTCCAAAGTATGCCTGGATATATCAACAGTATATACATATTACTAGTATATATGTATATAGTACTAATATATATTATTAGCATGTATGTATGTATGTATGTATGTGTGCATATATGTATAATACTATATAAATCACTAGCAGATATTAGGAATCTACTAGGTCAGAGGAAAAAAATAAGAAACAGAGTATAGCTTGCATACAAACCTACCCAGAACAATAAATGATTCACTAATTTTGAGTATTATCAATAAAGAACCATTAATACTAAACAGTAATACCAACATTTTTGAGACAGGAGTAATAAAAATGCAAATGTGAAGTTACAGAGAAAGATCAAATCTTTCATGCAAGTTCTATTTTCCACATGTAAGAGAAGCAGAGGGCAAATGCGTGGAAAACATATCTCAGAAGGCTGTAAGACGCCAGATATCTCAACATTAAAGCTGGAGTAGAGGGTATGATTTCAGGTGATGCTGAAGAATAGTGGAGTTGTGAAAGAATTTATAAAAATGATAATATAACTGAATTTAGAAGCCTGTGTGAATTTCAAAGGAAAAATATATTTGGATACTAAGTTTCCATAGAAATCCCTCATGATTCACCTATGATTGCTTTGAACTGTACTATAAGTAGGACTTTCTGATATTTTTCAAACTTGAGGTCTTTGAAGTATTCCTGTGATTCCCCTAAGCTGAAGCAGGGTGAGATGTTTTCAGACCTTTAAACTCTCAGCAAAAGTCTGAACCTACTTTAGAATTTTGGAAAGGAATTTGCATTACCATATTAAAGGGAGTTTAAAAATTAACTATTGGTTTTCAGTTACTAATAGTTTTCACGTATCTCGTGTCATTCATTTACGTGGGCATATACACAAAAATCCTCAAATTTCTGATTAACCTAGAAATCAAAATCAGATTTCTCAAGAATTTTTAAAGTTCAGTGGAATAGAGGGTTGGAGAAGTTAGTATTAAAAGTTAGGCGGTGGAGGTTCAAACATCATCTCTGTAGATAACCAGCTGTATGATCTATGCAGATTTGTGTAACTATCACAACTCTTTGGCTTCACCACTACCCATAAAAATGTGTTAGATTGAGCAACTGAGCAGTAGTGTTCAACAGGGGCATTACTGTCCCTACACAGTATCTGGAAATCCTGTGGAAGTGTTTTCAGTTTTCATGATGATTCTAAGGTGCTATGGGCATTTGGCCAAGCAGGGAGACTAGATACCCTTCAATGCTCCTGACAGCTCTATACCATAAAGAATCTTTTCAAATCCCACAGCTTTTCAAATGTCCCAACAAACATTCTCATATAGGTTCAAAACCTGTTTCTGTTTCTTCATGTTAACGTTATATTTATGTTCATCTGAGCCTAGAACCTAACTCTGTTTTATATAATACTATAATACTAATAACATATACATAGATATGTGTACATCTTCGTCTGTTCTGACTTCTCCAACAAAATACCTTAGACTGGGTAATTTACAAACAACAGAAATTTCTTCCTACAGTTCTACAGGCTGGGAAGTCCAAAATCAACATGCCTGCGGATCTGGTGTTTGGTGAGAACCTGTTCCTCATAGATGACACCTTCCAGCTGTGTTCTTACATGGTGAAAGGAGCAAACAGTCTCTCTCAAACTTTTTTTTATTAAAGGCCACTAACGCCATTCATGAGGGCACAGCCCTCAAGACAATGACCTGTGAAAGCCCCAATCTCTTAATACTACCACCTTGGGGGTTAGATTTCAGCAGATCAATTTGTAGGGGTATACAAACATTCACACTAGAGCAGAGAGAGAGAGTGTGTGTGTGTGTGTTTATGTCTGTGTGTGTGTGTTGGGCATAGTTCTCTGATAAAAGTCTACATCTTTTCTTCTATTTTCTTGATAAAATTATGTTATTTTAATATATTATCTGTGTCTAATATTTATATCACTTGGGGGCCTTCTTCCATTGTCTGTTTTTTCTTGCTATCATTTTTCAGTATACCTAATAATTTTGTATCTAATGCTGAACATTAGGTATAAAAATCTGTAGAGACTCTCAACATTGTTATTTTTCTCCAAAGGGGATTTGTTTTAGAATTTGGCTAGGATTTAAATTGGATATTGAGTTAATTCAAGGCTCAGTGTTTACAATCTGGTCTATTTCTGTTATTTCTAGAAAACAGGCCTTCAGGGTCCCAAAGGAGAGCCTGAGTCCCTCCCTCCTTGGCAAAACCTAACCTCTAGCTCTATCCCTCTAGCACTATGAGACTTCCAAAATTTCTGCTGAGTTTTTTACCATGTTGGCAACCAGTTTCTGCTCATCTTTCCAGCCTCTCACTGTTCACTGCTTATGACTTTGCCAGAGTTTTGAGGGGAAGATGATAGTGTGTTTCCTTCTCTCCAGGATCATGGCTCCTTCAGTTCTGGCTGCCTTGGTGACTCCAAGATGTTTTTGAATAGTTTCCCCTACCCTTTGGCTTTTGGAAGGGGGTTTCAACGACCACAATTTAGTCAGTTATACCTGGAAGTAAAAGTCTAGCATGGTTTAAAAATGCAAAGAATTTCCTTTGAATACAACTATTGTGTACGTTGAGAATCATTACCATTTGTTTTGTTCAGAAACTTATTAAAATGTTCACATTACCCATGACAGTACTGGTCCCTGGGTCATGAATTCAAGATATTTACATCATGCATTTACCATTATGCTATTCATGATGATTCTATGTGTATGTGTGTACAAAAACAGATCATTTTTCTTCCCTTAAATATAAATTAATCATTAATTTAAAAATGGTTCAAGTATCTAAACACACTGCTTTATATTCTAGAGTAATTGTGCCTGAACAACTATAGGTTGCAAAGGAAAGAATAACATCTTAACGCCTCTCTTTTTAACCCCTCTGCCCGCAGATCCCATGCTTATTCAGCTATAGAAACTCATAGGTTACTTTAATGTTACTACTGAACCTGGATATAGAAAAGAATTCTCCTGGAACCTTCAACTGCATTGCCTAGAATTTGGACTGTCATCTGAAAAAGGCATGGGATAGCAAATATCCAAGAAAAAGCTGCAATGGCACCTGCTGCATGTCCAAGTTTCAGACACAAAAACAAACGTGCTGAGTTTTCTTTTTGGCTAGAATAAGGTCTCTGGATTTGAGACATCTGTAAAGTACACAGCTCAGGAAAACTGCCTTCTATAGCAAGTATGTGCAAGGTATGCTCTTAGAAGCAGTAACTGAGGGGACAATGTCCATTCAGGCCAGCCAGAGAATATGTCATCCACCTCAGAGAAAGGTATAGGGCTGGAGATCCCTGAGTAGGCAGGGGGAGGGCAGTAGGAAGGATTCTATAGAGTCCAACAAAGCATTCTTTGAGAGAAAGAACCAGCATTTATTTGCACATCTGACAAACTGATGGCCTCAATGCCAGATTCCAATGGCAATGATCAAGTTAAACCTTGCCCTTTTCTTCTAGTTCCTCTTCCTTGCCTGATCTTAAAGGAGCCAGAAGCAACAGCTAACAAGTGGTAGAAGAAATAGAACAAAACCAGTGAAGAAATAGGCCATGTTTTGGCCCATTCCTCAATGCTGCCGGTTGTAGAACCTGGGTTATGCCTAAGCCAAGACTGGGGAATACAAGGATGAACAGAAGAGAATCTTTAAACTGCATGTAGAATGCATTTTATTTGGATTAGACAGGACTTCTTAAAGTTATTTCCCAAATGCAAGCTATTGAGTAGAGTCCCTTCAACACACCAGGTAGGATAATTTGCCTATTTAGAAAAATGACAAGTATTAGCAAAGTCAAACTTCCTCATGTTATCCAGTATACTAGATGGGGGTCAATGAGTTTTGCAGTTGAAATGATCTTAACTATGTAATAATTTTGAAAATAATTCATATAGGATAAACATAAAGTTCTTAGAGCTAAAGCTTAAGCAGTTGGTTAATAATTTATTCTCTCCCCTATATATATATTAAAATATATTGATGCATAAGAGTGTTCCAAAATTGTAAGAATGGGAACAAAGCATACAATTATAACTAAAGAGGATCATTCTTACAATGTAAAGAAGCAATTATAAGCTGCATGTTGAATTATTTCAACCTCCAAAGGAACTGAAATTGTCAACAAAATCTTTCTATACCTGGAAACTCACAGATGTGTACAAATCAAATAATGTGATGAAATAACTTCAAAACACCTGTCTTGCTACAAACACATTACAGAAATTCATTCTTGTTGCCTTTCTCAAGTAGTAAGCAAAATAAGCACTGGGATTATTTTGCCTGTATATTATGTAATAAAACTTTTAAATTCAAATATTCAGTCAAATGCCAAGTGAAATATAACTTTCACACTAAGTCAAGAATCCCAATGCATGCATCTATTTGTTTAACTGAATGATGACTCAAAGTAACATCCCTTGTCATAACGGTTTTTGAAAATACAGTCAAATGCCATTAGAAAGCGTCTTGCTATTCCACAGGCTCAGTTACTCTCCAAATCTGGGCACATCCCCTGTGTACTAAGGATACAGAACACATATCACAAACATGAAAAACTGTCAGATGTCTCATTAGTCCTAGACTATGACAGCAATGGTGAAATAGTGCATCTCTACAGGAGACTGGATGTAACTGATAACAAAGCATTGACAAGATGAAATAAAAAATGTATACAAAAGAAGAGGAACCATTAGCACTAATCAACTTACCTAAAATTAAAATAAACAGAAAGATGTAAGCTCCCTACTTCTTACCAAATAGCAACAACCCTAAATTTTAGGAAAATCTGTCAGATCATGAAAACCTTGGTATAAACAGATTCTGCTGGTTTATTACCCACTGAAAAGCCCATTATGCATTCCTTTATTTGAGAAAAAGGCTTTTTTATATTAATTTGTGAACAATAATGGTATTTGTGCTTATTATGCTAACATTAGTAGAGAGTTAAAAGTAATAGAAGTGTAAAGCTGGGGAAAAAAGCAGTAATTATATTCAAAGAGATTTTTTATACCTATTTCAAATATATTGTTTTTTATACTTTTTCAAAATATACTGTAGTATCTCTTTATGTGAAGATATGGGATGATTTAGAACTGTAACCTTTGTAAGTTGGAGGGAAACACAGATATCAAGATTCTCCTTCAACCTTATTATTTTATAAATAAGAAAATTTGAGCTAAAAGTGAGATTTCCTGGGTCATATAGTTAATTAATAGCATTTATTCATTAACTTAATTTATTATGTCATCATATATTTGAATGCATACTGAGTTTAGGGAAGAAGTTCCATAAGGACTGTGGAGAATATGAAGATGATAAAGACCCAGCCCAAGCCTTATGTAAAGACTTATGACATGGAGTAAAGTGTCTACACACGTAACTATAATACCAATTGTTACAATGTATGATTGACTAGAATGTCTACAGTACCTTAAAGGAGGTTAGAATGATGGAAAATCAGAGATAAGAACAAAGACTTCAGAAAGGACAAATTTGGAATTGTGTAGTGACATTGGGGAGTCTAGGAACATGAATGATGATACAGAGGGAAGTTAATTTGGCTTAGTTTGGTGGGATCAAGAAGGTACATACAGTAACGCTGAAAAGCTAGGGGGAGGTCATGCTGTGAAAAGTCTAGAGCACTTGAAAAAAAACTATCTTTATTTTGTTAAAAAAATGAGGACCTTTGGAAATTTGCATGGTGCTTTGAGAAAATTAACCCAATAGCAGAATATCATATAGTTTGAATACTCAAAATCTGGAATAGAAGATTATTGCAGAAGCTCCGGTCATGTAGCACACAAGAACAGTGGTGGTGGAGGCAGGTCACAAGAAGGGTCCCCATACAGCATTTATCTCTACCTAGCAAGGGATAAATTCAGGAAGGGAGAAGGGAAAGTCACAGCTGACTCCAGAGATGTTGGTGCCATTGAGTGAACGAACATCTATGAGAGAAAAAGTGAGCCTTGGGGAAAAGAGGACGACTTCAATCTGGAATATACTGGCTGCGGAGTCCTAATTTCAATTCGGGTATTTGGTCTCTAAAGCCAAGTTCTCTTTCCCTTAAATCACACTGTCTTTCCTACAAGTTAATTAGGAAATAGTTAATTGACTAATAGTTAACCACAATTAATTTATTCTCAGCTGTGGATTAGAAATGCACATCTTGCATATATTTTATAGTTTTTAATAATAATAATTTTTATATTTTTATTATAACAGTAATTTTATTTTATGAACAATAATTTATCTTCCAAAACAGTTATCTTAGATAACAACAGTAATTTTAATATTGCTTTTTATAGTAGCATTTATATAGCATTTACAGTGTCCCAGGTATCGTTCTAAGCACTTTAATTTATATATATATATATATTTTTTTGTATTATACTTTAAGTTCTAGGGTACATGAGCACAACGTACAGGTTTGTTACATATATATACATGTGCCATGTTGGTGTGCTGCGCCCATTAACTCGTCATTTACATTAGGTATATCTCCTAATGCTATCCCTCCCCCCTTCCCCCACCCCACAACAGGCCCCGGTGTGTGATGTTTCCCTTCCTATGTCCAAGTGTTCTCATTGTTCAGTTCCCACCTATGAGTGAGAACATGCGGTGTTTGGTTTTTTGTCCTTGCGATAGTGTGCAGAAAATGATTGGTGGGACTGTAAACTAGTTCAACCATTGTGGAAGACAGTGTGGCAATTCCTCAGGGATCTAGAACTAGAAATACCATTTGACCCAGCAATCCCATTACTGGGTATACACCCAAAGGATTATAAATCATGCTGCTATAAAGACACATGCACACGTATGTTTATCGCGGCACTATTCACAATAGCAAAGACTTGGAACCAACCCAAATGTCCAACAGTGATAGACTGGATTAAGAAAATGTGGCACATATACACCATGGAATACTATGCAGCCATAAAAAATGATGAGTTCATGTCCTTTGTAGGGACATGGATGAAGCTGGAAACCATCACTTTAATTTTCATAGCAATCTATTATTATTCCAGTTTTACAGACAAATAAACTGAGGCCCAGGAAAATTAAATAATCTGCCTAAGGACAAACAGCTAACCCTTGAGAGAGAGCTGGATTCATGACCAGAGGCAGCCTGAATTCAGACTCCATGCTCTCAAGCCATTGTATATGCTGCCTCTCAGAGCCACCCTGAGATGCTACTCACGCTCTATTCCAGCCCGCCTGCCTTCTCTAATGGCCTGAGACGGTTGTGGTGCTGCTCTCTGCTCTCTAGCTAAGATGCAGGAAGTTAATTATGTTTTTCTCACTCCTTCCCTCCTTATTCTTCTCTCCAATCCCCCTCTTTCCAGGAAGTCTTCAGAGAGTTAACATTTTCAAATGCTGCACACAGAATCAGAGCTTTCCTCAGGCTTGGGGCCAGCACAGACATACAAAGTCATTTCTCACTGGATTCCCATCACTGGCTTATCCATTTGTTTTATTCCTTTTCAAATCAAACATGGAAAGCAGGTGGGGTAATAAGGGGCTAAGAGAATGTGACAGTTGTTTCCAGAAATCCTTTTCC
The DNA here is from genome assembly GCF_000001405.40 of Homo sapiens. NCBI lineage: Eukaryota > Metazoa > Chordata > Mammalia > Primates > Hominidae > Homo > Homo sapiens. The sequence goes on along the minus strand of NC_000006.12, from coordinate 60,920,420 downwards.
CTTTAATAATTAGTTATCTACCATAAACAAATGTTTTTAAATATTTAGTTTGCTTTTATCTTGACATATTCTATTTCCATGGATTCACTTAACTCTACCCCCATATATATAAGGCAGTGATAGCATTTGGGGTTTACATGCTCAACAACACACTGTCTCCTAATTTAATACTCCCCTCTCCTATCACTATTCCAAAATATCTTAACTTAAAAGTAACGGTGACAACTGCATTCAATTCCAGCCCAACTTTGGAGTGAGTGCTTTATATTTAAATTTTGTTATGTTCTCTTGTGGTTTGCAAAGGAAAAGTGTCACTACTAAACAAAATAATTTTGTAAACAAAGAAATATTATTTAAAATCTATTGGAGGCCAGATGCAGTGGCTCTCACCTGTAATCTCAGCACTTTGGGAGGCCAAGGTGGGTGGATTACTTGAGCCCAGGAGTTCAAGACCAGCCTGGGAAACATAGTGAAACCTCCTCTCTACAAAAAAAAAGAAAAAAAAATTAGCTGGGTGTGGCAGTGTGCACCTGTGATCCTAGCTACTCAGGAGGCTGAGTGAACAGGCAAGAGGAGAGCGTAAATCCAGGAAGTCAAGGCTGCAGTGAGCCATGATTGCACCACTTCACTTCAGCCTGGGAGACAGAACAAGATCCTGTCTCAAAAAATCAAAAACAAACATAAAACCTATTGGAAACCATGCTGATATGGTTATTCAACTTTATGTACTGTATATGTCAAAATAGCTTTTTAAATCATCTCTAAAACTGGCTTAAATTCCTTAATGGACAAGAGCCTGATCTTCCAGGGACAGGAGTAATTACTTCTCTACCTCTCAAATCTCCATGCTGCAACAGGAGATTAAATTGAACTTTTAGAGCAAGTAGCCCATAAGAGACTATCAGTAGTTGAGCTTTATTTCTAGGCTTCTTTTTTTCCCTACACAACACAAACTCACAGTACTTATGTTGGTATGGTGATACATAATTAATAGTGTGAGCTGTTTGCTAATCTAGTGTATCTAATCTTCCTTTTCTCCTAAAAAGGTTTCCTTAGCTATCTCGCCCTGTTTTTCTTGGGTACCCAAGTTTGAGAAGTCACATGGTAGATTACGTTTGCGAATGCTGTAAAATGCCAAAACTCATCCATGATATAATTGTAAACACTCATGGGGAATGGAGATAAGTGAGAGAGAACATCATCCTGATCCTCATGCCTTGTAATAGATTCACTGACTATGGATCATCCGCAAAGTAGGCCCACAAAGCATAATAATTAGCAGTTTAAAGCACTTTACATTCACTAATTATTTAATCCAATCACCTCCTAATGGAGAATATTTAATAACGTGCTGACCTTAACATAAGAAGATTGTCCTGCTGAGCACTCTGCTTCCCCAGTGAGTGCCGTAAGTTGTTTTTTAGTAGCAGGAAGGAAGCCGATCCTCTCTCTTACCAAGCCCCCTGTGACCAACAGTAAGCAACATCATTGGCTGACAAGAGGGAGGACCATAGAAGCCGGCCTCCGCCAGAGATAAGACACAACAATGGACAGCCTTAGGAAGGGAGACAAAGCTGTGGGTTTCATTAGCTCCATGCACTAATCAGCTTAGCTGCTACCACAGGAGATGTGTGGATGTTTTTCTGTAGTAAGTAAAGCTATAAAATTAGCATCACACATTTTAAAATCTGGTTAAAACTCATGTGGCTGCTAATCTTAACTTCTCAAACTTCTAGCATTGATTGAATGTGAGAAATTGTAACTGCCATTAACAAGCATGGAGGAAACCAATCCCCTGGCAGCAGACAAGAGTTCACAGAAACTGATTATATGAGTACATACATGCAGAGCAAGACAGTAAAAGGAAAGAAAGCCCACAGATGCAAACAGAAGAGGGGGCAAGAGCACAAAACTCAGAAGACTAGAGACAAAACTTCAAGGGTTATGAAAGATATATTGGTATATTCATGTGGAGAGGAAAATAAGAAAATTACTTAAATCTAGGTAGTAAAAAAATAGCTTAAACTTGAAAAACTCCTTTATAGGTTAGACATCTGTGTCATCTAAACTTTGGAAGAAAAAGAAGACACTATTAATAATTAGTCAGGACAAATGAGCACTACTAAATTTATTATTCTACTCAATCAGGATGAATGTTCATTCTATACAGTTATGAAAAATGGTTGGGCACAGAGACAAAGAAGCATTTCTCAGAAGTGAGTATCAGAGAAGCAAATGTCTTAAGTCATTTTTATGTCTATAAAGGCCTTTTTTTCTTTCTATCTGCAGTGGAAGAAACTTTCACTAAAGGCCTGGGACTTAGCTTACAGATATAGAGAAAAATAAAGTCAGATTCTCAAGTTACCTCATTCTCATATATCCTGCTTTCTACTTGGATAATTATTATGGACTGAATTGTGTTCCCCTAAAATTTGTAGTCTGAAGCCCTAACCTTCAATGTGACTGTATTGGGAGATAGGGCCTTTAAAGAAGTGATTATGGTTAAATGAGATTGTAAAAGTGAGGCCCTAATCTAACAGGACTTGTATCCTTCTAAGAAGAGGAGAAGACACCAGAGATCTCTCTCTCTCCATGCACAGAGAAAAGGCCATGCGAGGACACAGCAAGAAGATGCCATCTGTAAGCCAAGGAGAGAGGCCTGAGAAGAAACAAGCCCTGCTGGTACCTTGATCTTGGACTTTCAGCCTCCAGAACTGTGAGAAAATTTCTGTTAAGCCACCCGGTTTGTGGTATTTTGTTATGGCAGCCTGTGCAGACTAAGACAATCATGAAGTGTTAATTTAATCAGTAAGAATAAACCAACTTGAAAGCATCTTCCATGCCCTCTGTTTCTGTCCTTGCTGTGTCTCAGAACTTCACAATGCTCTCAAGAGACAGGTGAGAGGGTGGAGCTGAACCATAGGGGCAGATTCTATACCTGGGTCATCCTAGGAGAGTGAAAACCTAAGGAGACAGGAAGAAACATGGAATGTGAAAGGAGTTAAAATTCAAAAATGAAGGCTTGCTGCAAATCTAAAGGGAGGCCAAGGTTGAGGTAAAAGTCAGAATAAATAGCCATGAGTTAGCAACTAAGGCAACTTCTTAAGGAGGCCTGGGCCAGATGGACTGCTTTTGTGTACCAGTGGAGGAGAGGTTGGTATATAATGTGGCTTTGTGGGAGAGCAGGAACTCTTCCTCATCTTCCTAAGGGATTACCTGCAAAGTATCCGCCAGAGACTGGAAGGTGACATAGCTTAGTGTTCAAGAACCTGGGAGTTAACTGGATGTAGGTATAAATTCTTGTTCTGCAACTTCCTAACCATGTGACCTTAAATAAGAAGTTTATTCTACCCTCAATCTCAATTCTCCAATATGCAAAATGGGTATAATAATATTGGTCATTGTTTGACTCTCTTTCAGAAAAACATTGTGGGCTCTCTTTAAACAGGCCAGTATTCCTGGGAGGGATGAGGAAGAATGGATGACACTTTGAGTCACTAATTACATAGGTTTGCTTTAGTCTTCTATTCTATTATAGGTGTGTATAAATGTGTGGCAGAGAGGTGGATCAAAAGCAAGGAAAAAGATACAGAAAACTGTTAAGAGACGAATACTAATTTCAACTATTACTAATTTATTTTCCTTAGAGCCAGCCCTAATTGCCAAAACACCTTTTAAGCAACAAACATTAACTAATTGACTTGGGTGAAAACCTTTTGTGAACAGAGTCTTTGCTGGAGTTAAGAGTAACGTTTCTGACTAAGAAACAAATAAACCTAATGGTGAACTGCTGACCTTTGGCCTTTGTAACTGGGTTTCATTCACACAGTCCTCCAACCCATCATTTTTATGTACTGGCCAATCCTCATCAATGGCACAGAGCTCTGTATTGCTTCAGGACCTCCTCCTTTCTAGGGAACATTTTAGTATTGATCATTATTATTTTATTTTATTATGTGCCAGAAAGAATAGCAACCTTTAAAATCAATTGCACTCTTTAGTTCTTAATAAAGATTTTTATTTACAGTAATATCTTTCAGATTTTTGATACACTGACCCTTTTATTGAAAGGCCTATCTGAATCTATTTTTTTATGACCATAAATAGCTTCAGTTCCCTAAAGTGGAATTCTGTTTGCTTTAAATGTAGAGTTGAATATGCAAGGTACTTAGAAAATTTAATTTAAAAGCCTTAGGTAAATGGTCTCTGAAATGAGTTATTTGTATCTTGAACTGTCATTAAAGGCAGCCTGTCATAAGTTGATCCAATATTTCATTTTATATCACAAGTTCCATTAAATTTTCATAAGAAACTCATAAGCACTGCTGATGTCACGTCCCTTTCAAAAGTGTACCTAAGCTGCCAGCAAAGCTTTCTTTTTGAGCAGTCTTAAAAGTAGATTTTCTATCAGTGTCCATCATGGAAGCTAGGACTGCTTATGAACCTAAGTGCAAAAGTAACAGACAAATAACTTCACTAGGTAAGGACCTTGACCCACCCTATTTAATATTTAGTCATTGATAATATAGCCAAATGGTAGGTAATTCAGGAAGGCCTTGCCTGGCTTCCCTAAAAATGCTCCCCAAAGGCATGAGCTCAATAAACTACTCACTGGGTAAATTTTTAAATTTTCTTTTATTGGTCCTGCACTTTTCTTATTAGAGTTTCAAGGACTTACTGCAGTACTAACATATTATTTGTCAAATGAATCTATAATTTCCCACCCAATTCTTTAATCATCCCTTCTACCCATCCCTGTCCATCACAGTTCTATTTTAAAGTATAAGAAATGAACTATTGATTACATTAAGTAGTGCTTGTTTAATAAGCCACTATCTTAATTATTTTGAAAAGAATGTAAGGAAAATAATCCAATAAAGTATATCATCTGTCCTCCTATACTGTGTATATAAACTTCCTTTAAAACAGAAGAGAAATGTAGTAGATTCATTGTCTCCAACAGTGGTCTGAGGTTAGAAAATATCAAATTTGGTTATCCAACTGGGTTCAAAGAAAGTTGGGAGCTACATTACTGAACAAAGAAACCTCTCTATTCACAGTTGGGTATTTTGCCTCAAAAAAGGGGCTCATCATTCCTGGTTAAGGGAGAAGTATAGAGGCTTTGTGAAGACCATGACTTCCTGAGAAATCTATGTCCATAAGCAGTCCACCTACTTGGGAGATGGCATGTGGATTCTATACATTATATAACTTCTTAATAAAAATCTGAGCTAGATCACTTGCACCATCTATCATGGGGGAGCACTGTTTGCCTCAGGGTCATGAATGTCCCTAACTACATGAGAAGCAGAGAGAGAGACACAGCATGATGGCTAAATAGAAGCTTATATTGATCTTCCTCCCTACAGGAACACTAAACACAACAACCATCCACACAAAAAAAGCACCTTCATAAGAACCACAAATCAGGTGAGCAATCACACTACCTGGTTTTTACTTCATATCATTGAAAGAGGCACTGAGAAAGGTAGGAAAATCTTTTTTTTGTCATTTATTTATTTACTATTCATTTATTCATTTATTTATTTTGAGACAAGGTCTTGCTCTGTTGCCCAGGCTGGAGTGCAGTGGCGCAATTATGGCTCACTGTCATATAGGAGTCAAGAAGTAATTACTTAAGCAGATAGCAAGGGCATGGGAGTCCTCGGTAAGGCTTTTCTTTTTAATGAAAAGCAGCCCCAAATCATTTTCTAACAAACAGCAGCCTGCAAGCTGGGAGCTTGCACAGGTGAATGCCAGCAGGAACTAAGGACTAGGCATTTTCAAAATGGTGGCTCCACCATCCCTTCTTTGCCAGCCACCTGCACTGTAAGGAGCAGACAAGATGGCACCGATCAACTGGAAGGTCCATTTGCATAAGAAGATTAGGGTGGAGCAACCAGCCTTCCCAGAGCACTATGGAAACGTCATACCTGATTGAATCAATTTGTGATCCCCATGTAAATGAGGAGAACCGCCTCCTCAAACTGGACTATAAAACTCAACGCTTTGCTGCCACCCAGTCCTTTTCCACTTGGAGACTGCTTTCTCTATAGAGGAAGCTGTTTCTCTTTCTCTTCTCTTCTACCTATTAAACCTCCACTCCTAAACTCCTCATGTGTGTCCATGCCCTAAATTTTCCTGGCACATGATGACAAACCCCGGGTTTATACCCCAAATAACACAGTCACTTCAATTGCAGCATTGAACTCCCAGCCTCAAGCAATCCCAGCTAATTTTTGTATTTTTGTAGAAATAGGGTTTCATCATGTTTCCCAAGCTGGTCTTGAATTCCAGGGCTCAAGTGATCCTCCCACCTTGGCTTCCCAAAGTGCTGGGATTACAGGTATAAGCCACTGCATCCAGCCAAGAAAGTGTTGAATTGTCAATGCCACTCCTCCCCCATTCCTTGGCAGTGGCCACATGGCATGGAGACAAAATCTGTGCATTTGGGAGAGGCAGAATGCAGTGATTATGGGATTCTGCATTGGAACTCAGTGCTGCCCTGTCACAGCAGAAAGCAACACTGGGCAGAACTCAGCCAGCTCCCATGGAGGGAGCTTTTTGAGCAGCCCTAGCCAAAGGGGAATTGCCCATTCCAGCAGTCAGAACCTGAGTTCCACCAAGCTTTACCGCCAAAGGCTAAAGTACTCTGGAGTCCTAAATAAACTCAAAAGGCAGTCTAAGCCTTAACGACTACCACTAAGCAAGTGCTAGTGCTGTGTTGGGCTCAGAGCCAGTAGACCTGGGAACATGCAACCTAGTAAGACAGCAGCTGGGGTAGCTAAACGAGTGCTTGCACCACCCCTCACCCATTCCCAGGTAGCACAGCTCACAGCTCCAGGAGAGACTCCTTTCCTCTGCCTGAGGAAAGGAGAGGATAGGGTAATGAGGACTTTGTCTTGCAAGTTGAATATCAGCTCAGTCATAGTAGAATAGGGTACCAGGCAAAGTCCTGAAGCCCCCATTCCAGACCCTAACTCCTGGATAACATTTCTAGACAAACCCTGGGTGAGAAAGGAATCCACTGCCTTGAAGAGAAGGAGCCAGTCTTAGCAGCATTTATCACTTGAGGACTAAAGATCCCTTGGGCCCTGAAAAATCATCAGTGGCAGCCAGCTAGTACTTGCCATGGGCTTTGGGTGAGACTGAGATGTGCTGGCTTCAGGTGTGACCCAGCACATTCCCAGCTGTGGTGGCTACAGGCAGAAACTCCTGCTTTAGAAAATGAGAGGGAAGAGTAAAGCAGACTTTGTCTTGTTTGGCCACAGTAGGATAGAACACCAAACAGGCTCTTGGGGTCCCCAGTTCGAGGTCTTCACTCTTGGATGGCATATCTGGACATGCCCTGAGTCAGAAGGGAGCCCACTGCCATGAAGGGAGAGTCTCAGGCCTGGCAGCACTCACCAAAAGTTGATTAAAGAGCCCTTGGGCATTGAGTAAACACTGGCAGTAGCCAGGTAGTCCTGGGGCAGTGGTGGCCATGGGGAGAGACTCCTCTGCTTTTGGGAAAGGGAGGGAAGAGTGGGAATAGCTTTGTCTTGTGCTTTGGGTGCCAGCTCAGCAACAGCAGAATAGAGGACCAGGGAGATTCCTAAGGTTTCTGACTCCAGACTCTGGCTCCTGGATGGTATTGCTGGAAACACTCCAAGAGAACTTGTTGTCCTGAAAGGAAGGACACAAGCCTGGCTGGCTTTGCCACCTGCTGGTGGTAGAGCCCTAGGGTTTTGAGAGAACACAGGCAATAGCCTGGTAGTAGTTGCTGCAGGTCTTGGGCAAGACCCAGTTCTGTGCTGGCTTCAGGTCTGACTCAGAACAGTCCCAGTGGTGGTGGCCACAGGGTTAATTATGTCACCCTTCCCCCAGTTCCAGCAGCTCAGCACACAGAGAGAGACTCCATTTGTTTGTGATAAAGTAAGGGAAGAGAACAGGAGTCTCAGTTTGGTAATCCAGAGAATGTATCTGAATCTTATCCAAGACCACCAAAGCAGTACCTCTACAAGTCTGCAAGAGCCACAGCCTTAGTAGGCTTGTGGTGCCCCATAATGCAGATGTGACTGCAGTGACCAAAAACTTGTATCACAACACCCAATCCCTTTGATATCTAGGAAAGCCTTCCCAAGAAGGACAGGTACAAAGAGGCCCGGATTGCAAAGACTATAATAAACACCTAACTCTTCAATATCCAGACACCAACGAATATCCACAAGCATCAGCACCACCCAGGAAAACATGACCTTATCATATGAACTAAATAAGGCACCAGGGACCAATTCTGAAGAGACAGAGATGTGGGCCATTTTAGACAGATAATCCATAGCTGTTGAGGAAACTCAGTGGAATTGAAGGTCACACAAAGAAGGATTTAAGAATTCTATCAGAGAAATTTAACAAAAACCTTGAAATAATTAAAAGAAGCAGAAATTGTGGAGTTGAAAGATGAAACTGACATACTGAAGAATGCAGTGGTCTCTTAACAGCAGAGTTGATCAAGCAAAAGAAAGAATTAGTAAGCTTGATGATAGGCTACTTGAAAATACACACTCAGAGGAGACAAAAGAAAAAAAGAATTTAAAAAACAAGAACACCTACAATATCTATAAAATAGCCTCAAGAGGGCAAATCTAAGAGATACTGGCCTTAAACAAGAGGTAGGGAGAGAGATAGGGGTAGAAAGTTTATTCAAAGGAATAATAACAGAGAACTTCCCAAACTTAGAGAAAGATATCAGTATCCAACTACAAGAAGGTTACATAACACCAAGCAGATTTAAACCAAAGAAGACTACCTCAAGGCATTCAATAATCAAACTCCCAAAAGTCAAAGGATAAAGAAAAGATACTAAAAGCAGCAAGAGAAAAGAAACAACATACAAAAAAGCTCCAGTACATCTTGCAGAAGACTTTTCTGTGGAAACCCTACAGGCCAGGAGACAATGGCATGACATATTTAAAGAGCTAAAAAAAAAATGTTTACCCTAGAATAAGGGTCAGTTCAGCAAGAGGATATAGCAATTGTAAATATACATGTACTCAACACTGGAGCACCTAGATATATAAAGTAAATATTAGAGCTCAAGGGAGATCCCCAATACAATAATAGCTAGAGACTTCAACACCCCACTTTTAGCTTTGGACAGATTGTCCAGACAGAAAATCAACAAAGAAATATCGGGGGAACCCACCCCTGATAATTCAATGTAGGTTCTTTTCTATTTTCCCTAAGTGTCAGCTGGTCTGAGAAATAAAGGGAAAGAATACAAAAGAGAGAAATTTTAAAGCTGGGTGTCCAGGGGAGACATCACATGTCAGCAGGTTCCGTGATGCCCCCTGAGCCATAAAACCAGCAAGTCTTTATTAAGCAATTTTCAAAGTGAAGGGAGTGTACGAATAGGGTGTGGGTCACAGAGATCACATGCTTCAAGGGATAACAAGGCAGAAGGTCAGGGCAAAATCACAAGGTCAGGGCAAAACTAGAATCACTAATGAACTTCCATGTCCCATTGTGCACGCAATGTCATGGATAAACATCTTAACAGTGTTCAAGAGCAGAGAACCAGTCTGATCAGAATTTGCCAGGCTGGAATTTCCTAATCCTAGCAAGCCTGGGAGCGCTGCAGGAGGCCAGGGCGTGTTTCATCCCTTATCTGCAACTGCATAAGGCAGACACTCCCAGAGCAGCCATTTTAGAGGCCCCCATATTCCTTACTGGGGAAAGAATTCAGCGATATTTCTCTTACCCGTTTTCGGTAATAAGAGAAATATGGCTCTGTTCCGCCCGGCTCCCAGGCAGCCAGACTTCAAGATTATCTCCCTTGTTCCCTGAAAATCGCTGTTATCCTGTTCTTAAGGTGCCCAGATTTCATATTGTTCAAACGCACATGCTTTACGAACAATTTGTGCAGTTAACGCAATCATCACAGGGTCCAGAGGCAACATACATCCTCTGGTTACGAAGATGATGGGATTAAGAGATTAAAGTAAAGACAGGCATAGGAAATTATAAGAGTATTGACTGGGGAAGTGATAAACATCCATGAAATCTTCACAATTTATATTCAGAGATTGCAGTAAAGACAGGCATAAGAAATTATGAGTACTAGTTTGGAGAACTAACAAAAGTCCATGAAATCTTCACAATTTATGTTCTTCTATCACGACTTCAGCAGGTCCCTCCGTTCAGGGTCCCTGACTTCCTGCAACAAAGAAACATCAGACTTAATGTGTACTATAGACCAAACAAATCTAATTGATATTTACAGAACATTTCATCCATCAGCTGCAGAATACACATTCTTCTCCTCAGCACATGAATCATTCTCAAGGATAGACCATATGTTAGGCCACCAAAAAAGACTTTAAAATTTCAAAAAAATAAAAATAATATCAAGTATTTTCTCTGACCCCAATGGAATAAAACTAACAATCAATAACAAGAGGAATTTTGGAGACTATACAAACACGTGAAATTTAAACAATATGCTCCTGAATGGTCAGTGGTTCCATGAAGAAATTAAGAAGAAAATTGAAAAAAATTTAAAACAAATGATAAGGAAAATACAACATGCTAAAACCTATGGCATACAGTAAAAACAGTACAAAGAGGGAAGTTTATAGCTATAAACAACTATGTTAAAAAGTAGAAAAACTGCAAGTAAACAACCTAATGATGCATCTTAAAGAACTAGATAAGCAAGAGAAAACTAAATCCAAAATTAGCAGAAGAAAAGAAATAAAAAAGATGAGGGCAGACCAAGTGTCTGTAATCCTAGCCTTTAGGAGGCCAAGGCAGGAGGACTGCTTGAGGCCAGGAGTTCAAGACCAGCCTGGACAACATGAGACTCTGTCTCTAAAAAAAAAAAAAAAAAGAAAAAAAAATTGAGCTGGGTGGGGTGGCACACATCTGTAGTATCAGCTACTCAGAAGGCAGGGGTGAGAGGATCACTTGTGCCCCAGAGTTCAAGGCTTCAGTGAGCCATGATTGTGCCACTGCACATCAGCCTGGATGACAGAGCAAGACCCTGTCTCACACACACACACAAGATCAGAGCAGAAATAAATGAAATTAAAATAAAGAAAATAATACAAAAGATCAATGAAATAAAAAGTTGTTTTTTTAAAGATAAACAAAATTGACAAACATTTAGCCAGACCAAGAAAAAAAGCAAGAAGATGCAAATAAAATCAGAGATGTAAAAGGCAACATTACAACTGATACTGCAGAAATTCAAAGGATCATTAGTGGCTACTGTGAGCAACTATATGCCAATCAATTGGAAAACCCAGAAAAAAATGGATAAATTCCTAGACACATACATGCTATCAATATTGAGTCATGAAGAAATTCAAAGCCTAAACAGACCAATAATAAATAACAAGATTGAAGCAGTAATAAAAAGTCTCACAACAAAGAAAAGTCTGGTACCCGATGGTTTCACTGCTGAATTTTATCAAACATTAAAATACCAATCCTACTCAAACTGTTCTGAAAAATAGAGAAGGAGGCAATACCTCCAACTTATTCTACAAGGCCAGTATTACCTTGCTTCCAAAACCAGATAAAGACACCTCAAAAAAAGAATACTACAGGCCACTATCCCTGATGAACATTGATGCAAAAATCCCCAATAAAATACTAGCAAAGCAAATTCAACAACACATTAAAAAGATATTCATCATGATCAAGTACAACTTATCCCAAGGATGTAAGGGTGGTTCAACATATGCAAATCAATGTGATACATCCTACCAACAGAATGTAGGGCAAAAACCATACAATCATTTTAATTGATGTTAAAAAAGCATTTAATAAAATTCAACATGCCTTCATAATTAAAACTGCCAAAAAACCTAGGTAAAGAAGGAACATAATTGGAGCCATATATGACAGAACCACAGCTAGTATAATATCTAATGGAGAAAAACTGAAAAGACTTTATTTGAAAATCTAGAACACAACAAAAATGCCCACTATCACCACTGTTATTTAACATAGTATTAGAAGTCCTGCTAGAGCAATCAGACAAGAGAAAGAAATAAAGGGCATCCAAATTGGAAAAGAAGTCAAATTATCCTTGTTTGCAAATGGTATGATCTTATATTTGGACAATCCTCAAGATGCCACCAAAAAATAATTACAGCTGATACACGAATTCGGTAGAGTTGCAGGATACTAAATCAACATACAAAAAGCAGTAACATTTCTATATGCCAATAGCAAACATTCTGAAAAAGAAATTTAACAAGTAATCCAATTTACAATAGCTACAAATAAAATTAAACACCTAGGAATTAACCAAAGAAGTGAAAGATCTCTATAGTGAAAACCATAAAACATTGATGAAATAAATTGAAAATAATACCATAAAATCAAAAGATATTTCATATTCATGGACTGAAAGAATCAATATTGTGAAAATGTCCATATAACCCAAAGCAATCTACATAATTCAATGCCATCCCTATCAAAATACCAATGATATTCTTCACATAAATAGAAAAAGCAATCCTAAAATGTATATGGAACCACAAAACACCCAGAATAGTCAAAGTTATCCTGAGCAAAAACAATAAAATTAGAGCAATCACATTGCCTGACTTCAAATTATACTACAAAGTTATAATAACCAAAAACAGCATGGTACTGGCATAAAAACAGACACATAGACCAATGGAACAGAATAAATAACTCAGAAACAAATTCATACATGTACAGTTATCTCATTTTGACAAAGATACCAAGAACATACACTGGAAAAAGGACAGTTTCTTCAATAAATAGTTCCAGGAAGACTGGATATTCTTATGCAGAAGAATGAAACTAGACCCCTATCTCTTGCCATATACAAAAATCAAATCAAAATGGGTTAAAGACTTAAATCTAAGACCTTAAACTATGAGGTCTTTTTTACTAGAAGAAAACATTGGGAAAACTCCCCAGGACATAGGACTGGGCAAAGATTTATTGAGTAATACCCCCACAAGAACAGGCAATTAAAGCAAAAATGGACTAATGGAATTACATCAAGTTTTAAGCTTTCTGCACAGCAAAGGAAACAATCAGCAATGTGAAGAAATAACCCACAGAATGGGAGAAAAATATTTACAAACTATACATCTGACAAAAGATTAATAGAGAAATGCAAATCAAAATTACAATGAGATCTCACCTCACTCTAGTTAAAATGGCTTTTATCCAAAAGACAGACAATAAGAAATGCTGGTGAAGATGTGGAGAAAAGGGATCCCTTGTACACTGTTGGAAGGAATGTAAATTGGTACAACCACAACGAAGAACAGTGTGGATCACCAGGTCAAGACATCAAGACCATCCTGGCCAACATGGTGAAACTCCATCTCTACTAAAAATACAAAAATTAGCTGGGCGTGGTGGTGTGCACCTGCAGTCCCAGCTACTCAGGAGGCTGAGGCAGGAGAATCACTTGAACTCTGGAGGTGGAGGTTGCAGTGAGCTGAGATCACACCACTGCACTCCAGCCTGGTGACAAAACAAGACTCCATCTCAAAACAAACAAAAAACTAAAAATAGAAATATCATATGATCTAGCAATCCCACTGCTAGATATATACCCCAAATAAAGGAAATTAGTATATTAAAGAGATATTTGCACTCAAATGTTTATTGTGACACTATTCACAAGAGCCAAGATTAAGAAGCAACCCAAGCATCCATCAGCAGACAAATGGATAATGGGTGGATACACACAAAATGTGACACACATATACTTTAAAAAGAATGAGGTCCTGTCATAGGCAAGAACATGGATGGAATTGGAAGTTAAGTTAAATAGGCTAGGCACAGAAAGACAAACTTCATATATTCTCACAAAATTAAAACAATTGTACTTATGGAGATAGAGAATAAAATGATGGTTACTAGAGACTGGGAAGGGAATTCCTGGGTGGGAGGAAACGTGGGGATGGTTAATGGGTATGGAAAAATAATAAGATAGTATCTACAAGAGCTGGTATTTGATAGTGTAATAGGGTGACGATGGTCAACAATAATTTACTGTACATTTAAAAATAACTAAAACAATAGAATTGGATTGTTTTTAACAAATAAAAAGGATAAATGCTGTGGTGATTAATACCCCATTTACCCTGATGTGATTACTATGCATTGTATGCCTGTATCAAAATATCTCAAGTATCCCATAATGTATACACCTATTATGTACCCACAAAAATTAAAAATAAAAATTGTATATAAAAAAGAGCCTAAACTGGCCTTTTCATGGCAGCTATATATTTAACCAAATATGGTAAAATTAAAAGAATCTTTTATTCCAAAAATGTGAATAGATGGAAGTTATTTCATTTTCCTTAACCAATTTTGGTCCTATTTTAAAAATCTCTGATGTGAATTTATTATAAAAGAGTGGAAGAGAAGGACATTTTGAAAATGAAAAAGAAATTAACAAAATGGAAAGAAAGAAAAACAAAGGATAAGATCAAATAAAGAAAATAGCACGTCAGAACACTGGTAGAGGTAACCACTTCCACAGAAAATGGAAAATGCCCTGTATTCTGTTGCAGGAAACTTGGTTTTACTCTTAATTTGGAAATAGTGTTAATGGCAACAATGATGCATTATTATTGATCACAAAATGTGGGGTTTGAATGAGATCAACTTCCAAAAATGCCTCTAACTTGAATAAGCACTGTGATTCTAAAGCTGAGAAATATATCTAGGTGGGTGTGTATGCATATAGTCATATAGACATTTGTATATATACATATAAGTTATATATAAGACATATTTTAAAACATTATTATGGTTAGTTTTCTTATGTATGGAAGCCTCAGAAAACTTAATATAAAATCATAGCAGAAGGAAACTTATAGGACATATACCTTCCCACCGCAAACAGATATTGTTTGATTTCAGTAACCACCAACTGTTCTTAACACAAGCAGCCATTTGGACATAAGAGAGACCTTAAAAAGGACCTAAATATCACATAGAACTTAATATTTTTGAGTTCTGTTTATAGCAATGACACCAGTTTGAATTTATAACATACTTTTTCAAAGCATTTTCATTTACTTTCCCATTTTTCTAACATTCCTGTGATAATTTTAGAGGATATGGTTAAAAATTGTTCTAATAAGTGGGGAAATAAAAGAATTTTATGTAATTTATCTAAACAACCAACTAGTGAAAAATAAAAACTAGACTTGGCCTCCAAGTTTATAGTTCGGTGCTCTATTTTACAGATGGTAATAAAATCTTAATATTTCTCGATGGATTATCATGCAATTAACTATACACAATTCTCATAGCATTAGTTGAAATGTTTATTTGAAGTGTCTTGAACAAGTTTACACAACTATTAAGTGGATGATATAAGATCTAAGCTTGTATTTGTTTCATTTTAAGACTAGTGTTCAATTATTCCTGAAAATATTTTATCTCCATGATTGAATTAGGTCCAATATATTAATGTTTCTCTTATGTAATTATTAAATCCATCTCTCCCAAATGAGTCAGACTATTTTACACATAGAGGTGGAGCATGGCATAGCAGTTAAAAATGTGGCTCTGAAATGAGATGGCTTCATCCTTGGTCTATATTTTAGCTTATTTGTACATTAGTTTTCTCAAAGTACAGATAATTTGAATACGTATCTCATAGTAAATAAATTGCTTAGAATCATTTCTGTACATACAAAGCTCTTGATAAATTCATAATACCACATCAATTGTCTATAGGTAAGCAAGAAAAGGCAATAACTATGTATGCTACATACATCCATTGCTTATTGCACACTTATCCATGTCTGGTCCTGTGGTATATGTGAAACAGCTATAGATTACCCTCAGAAGCAGTTTACATCTTCCTATATTTATATTTAATAAAATTATGAATAGCTCAGCCTTTAGAGAAGGGTCTCAATATTCCCTGAAGATAAATTATAGCCATAGTAACTAGCAGAATGTAAACAATTGAGAAGAATACTGCATCCACATTTCTGCTGAGTCCCAGCAGAAGTTTTCATAACTCCCTATGGAGACATTGGTGATCCATTATTTAGGGTAAACAATTTGTATTCTGCCAGTTGTTATGAGTAATCAAGATTAAAAACTGGCACCAAACACTGAAAGCCTAAGCCTCTGTTTGAGTGGCTTCAAGCTTTATCGTAACCACACAAGATAGAGGAAGTAAGAATGTTTAAGAAGTCCTGTGTTAATGACAGCAAGGGATGGACGTAATAAATACTGATTGAGTGACGTTTAGGTTGTGTATTTGCACGATTATAGCTATACCTTTGTTAATGAAATATATTGTTGCAAATCTGAAACTAGTTCATAACGGTAACCCACTATACTTGCCCCTTTATTTTAATTACGTCATTTTTTATTTCATAAGTTCTCATAAAAACATAGTTATTAAATAATAACAGAATAGCCTATAAAGGCTTAAATGATTAAAAAGAGATGGCAGGTACTTAGAAGCCTTAAAAAAATCAGTGGACAAAATGGCTAGATTATTCTTATTAGAATTTTTTATTACAGGAGAGAGAGAGAAAGAGAGGGTGAGGGGGAGAGTGAGAGAGAGACAAAGAGGAGGGAGGAAGAGAGGAAGGCAAGGAAAGAAGGAGAATATATTAGAGCTCTTAAAATTTTCTAATACTGGTATATTTAATAGGTAGCTTTTCATTATCTTATTTGAAATATAGATAATAGAACAGTAATTTTAAAAAATAATAGTAAACCCATAGGATGGAATATTAGGAAGCAATAATATGATGGTTTGGGGGTATATTTAATGCATACTCTGATGTATATTTTATATCATAGAAAAATGCTCATGATAACATTAAATGCAAAGTCAGAATATATAAACTACATATATAGAGAATATAAAGAATATAAATTATATAGAGTATAAAGTTTTATTTAAATAGTACACATACACATAAGAAAGGTGAGAAAGAAATATGCCAAAACATTAATAAATCCTAGGTGATATTATAAATGATGTGTATTTGTTACTTATAATTTTCTAAAATGTCTTTATAACCAGAAAGTTTTTTAATTATTAGTATTTTTTATGCATGGAAAAAAAACAACATATCTAAATGATTACATTTTCCTCCAAAGGTGAAGAAAACATTATTTTTTAATACTGTCCTTAAAAAATTTATGTCCAAAATTTTAAATTTTGTCCTTAAAAAAAGGATAAAATTTTTAAATGTCCATCCATGTCCCTTCAAAGGATATAATTTCATTCCTTTTTATGGCTGCATAGTATTCCATGGTGTATATGTACCACATTTTCTTTATCCTTTCTATCATTGGTGGGCATTTGGGTTGATTCTGTGCCTTTGCTATTGTGAATAGTGTTGCGGCGAACATACACATGCATCTTTATAATAGGATGATTTCTATTCCTCTGAGTATATACCCAGTAATGGGATTGCTGGGTCAAATGGTATTTCTGGTTCTAGATCTTTGAGAAATTGCCACACTGTCTTCCACAATGATTGAACTAATTTACATTCCCACCAACAGTGTAAAAGCATTCTTATTTCTCCACAGCCTCGCCAGCATCTGTTTTTTCTTGACTTTTTAATAATTGCCATTTTGACTGGCATGAGATAGTATCTCATTGTGGTTTTGGTTTGCATTTCTCTAATGATCAGTGATGTTGAGCTTTTTTTCATGTGTTTTGGCCACATAGATGTCTTCTTTTGAGAAGTGTCTGTTCATGTCCTTTGCCCACTTTTTGATGGGGTTGTTTTTTTTTTCTTGTAAATTTATTTAAGTTCCTTGTAAGTTCTGCATATTAGACCTTTGTCAGGTGAATAGATTGAAAAATTGTTCTCCCATTGTGTAGGTTGTCTGTTCACTCTGATGATAGTTTCTTTGCTGAGCAGAAGCTTTTTAGTTTAATTACATCTCATTTGTCTTTTTTTGCTTTTGTTGCAATTGCTTTTGATGTTTTTGTCATGAAATCTTTGCCCATTCCTATGTCCTGAATGGTATTGCCTAGATTTTCTTTTAGGGTTTTTATAGTTTTGGGTTTTACATTTAAGTCTTTAATCCATGCTGAGTTAACCTTTGTATAAGGTGTAAGGAAGAGGTCCAGTTTCAATTTTCTTTATATGCCCAGCCAGTTTTCCCAGAACCATTTATTAAATAGGGAATCCTTTCCCCATCGCTTGTTTTTGTCAGGTTTGTTGAAGATCGGATAGTTTTAGGTTTTTGGTCTTATTTCTGAGTTCTCTATTCTGTTCCATTGGTCTACGTGTCTGTTATTCTGCCAGTACCACGCTGTTTTTGTTACTGTAGCCTTGTAGTATAGTTTGAAGTTGGGTAGCATGATGCATCCAGCTTTATTCTTTTTGATTAGGATGGTCTTGGCTATATGGGCTCTCTTTTGGTTTCATATGAAATTTAAAGTAGTTTTTTTATAATTCTGTGAAGAATGTCAATGGTAGTTTAATGGGAATAGCATTGAATCTATAAATTACTTTGGGTAGTATGGCCATTTTCCCTATATTGATTCTTTCTATCCATGAGAATGGAATGTTTTTCCATTTGTTTGTGTACTCTCTGATTTCCTTAAGCAGTGGTTTTTAGTTCTCCTTGAAGAGGTCCTTCACGTCCCTTGTTATCTGTATTCTTATGTATTTTATTGTCTTTGTAGCAATTGTGAATGGGAGTTCATTCATGATTTGGCTCTCCACTTGTCTATTGTTGGCGTATAGGAATGCTTGTGATTTTTGCACATTAATTTTGTATCCTGAGATTTTGCTGAAGTTGCTTATCAGCTTAAGGAGCTTTTGGGCTGAGACAATGGGGTTTTCTAGATAAAGGATCATGTCGTCTGCAAACAGAGACAGTTTGACTTCCTCTCTTCCTGTCTGAATACCCTTTATTTCTTTCTCTTGCCTAATTGCCCTGGCCAGAACTTCCAACACTATGTTGAACAGTAGTGGTGAGAGAGGACGTCTTTGTCTTGTGCCAGTTTTTAAGGGGAATGCTTCCAGCTTTTGCACATTCATATGATATTAGCTATAGGTTTGTCATAAATGGCACATTCAGTATAATATTGGCTATAGGTTTGTCATCAATAATAACTGTCTTATTATTTCAAGGAAGCCATTATCCTCAGCAAACTAACACAGGAACAGAAAACCAAACACTGCATGTTCTCACTTATAAGTGGGAGCTGAACAATGAGAACACATGGACATAGGGAGGGGAACAACATGTACTTGGGCCTGTCAGGGGTGGGGTTGGGGGAGGGATAGTATCAGGATAAATAGCTAATGCATGCAGAGCTTAAAACCTAGGTGATGGGTTGATAGGTGCAGCAAACCACCATCGCACACTTTTACCTGCATGCCCTGCACATGTATCCTGGAACTTAAAATAAAATTAAATTAAATTAAAAATTTTAAATGTTTAACAACTAACCTTTCACATAAGTTATTCTTATTAACTCTATAAAATAACTTTTTGTTTTACGTCTTTAATAAGATGATCTTATTTGCTACCCAGAGGGCAAAACCTAGGCAAACAAAAACATTTATATTTTGGCCACAACATTTTTTCTAAAGTTTCCAAAATTTTCCAGGACTTGAACAAATGTCTTTATTTTATGTCTCTAAATTCAAAATTATCAACATTTAAGACATGTCGTGTGAGTGTGTATGTTACTATTTGTGTTACCTTTATTAATTAAATCTTTTTAAAAAGTTTAAAATTAGTTTCAAAAATTGTGCCTGTCTTTACACATTCTTAACAAAAGTATTTTTAACATTAAGAAATATATTTTGTGTAACATAGTGGCTTCCTAAAAAAATATATAATTTGAGATGTACAGCAAAAAGAAGATATACTAAGTACAGTAACTATAACATCAGGATCTTGATTTATGAATGTAAAAGGTGAACAAGAGAAAAAACATGGGAGCAAAAATTCCAAAAGAAAATATATATTACTTTTAGAAATTTTTGCTTCTGTTTTTGTATATATTTTTCTCACATACATTTCTCCTAAAAAAGTCAAAAATATAACTTGAGTGAAAGGGAGATATACTAAGTGCAGTAACTGTAAGATGGGCATGTTGATTTATGAATGTAAAAGGGTAAACATAAGAGAAAACATGGAAGCAAAAAATTTCAAAAGAAAATATATATATATTTGTTTCCATATTTTCTCATATATATATTTCTCATATCATTATATATGAGTTTAGTGAGGGAAAACATAAAAAGAACCTGGTTGTAAATCACTTATATGGTCATGCCAAGAAAAGCAAAAAGAAAGGCTACCATTGCACTGAAGTTAAGCATAACACCTGAGAAATATAAATGAATTTGAACACTAGCACTTTTACCTACATTGACTCTGTGGGGCTAAAGCAAACCACTGTGCATGAATTGTTTTGGAGGCGGTCGGAGAAAAAAAAGCAAAGATGGGGGAATCACAGGGATTCTACAGTCTATAGACCATATCATAGACTAATAAGCAAATACTGTTAATCCCAGAGAACTCATTTGGTAAGTCCTTTGGCTTTGTGTGCTATTCTGTACATGAGATGCTCCCTTTTCTCCCCATCAAGAGGTTTAATTTTTCAATTTGAGGCACTATTCGTATAGAGCATGCCTCATTAGCTTGTGGGAGGTAGCTGATATTCATTAATTCAATTCTCACTTCATTTGCTTTGCACATAGCTGTAATTAGTTTCCAAATAACTTAGGTAACTTCAATAGATTTATGACTACAATTTTACTCTACATTTGCTTTTTTACTCCTTTTTTTTTCCCTTTTCTGATATTTTATAGAAGTTAACGTTTAAAAGGACAAAGTTACTTTGGGGAGCGATTTGATGTTAAAAATTATGGCTTTCAGTTGTCTTGTATGATTAATAACAGAGATTTTGGCATTTTAGTAATTCTCTCACCTTGCAAATTCTGATAAAAAGACAAATAATTGATGTTTTTTCACTTGTTGGAAAATATTTTAAACTATAAATTCAAACAGATGATTTTCAAGCCTCATGCAATTTCAGTATTGTGTATTTATTGCTTCAATCTATATAGAATGTTAGTGTTACATTTTTGAAATATTGTTTTCATATGGTAATGTTAATACATCAATAAAAATCAAGACCATGAATTGATATTGATGTTTGTGGTAGATCAAAGACAAAAAACTAATCACAGTAGGTTGCAGCTCCTTCCATGTAGAGATAAAATCTATTTCACTTTCTCCTGAATCTGGGCTTAGCCACGTGACTCCTTTGGCCAAAGGACCCTAGCAGAGACAAGAAGAAAGCTGGCACACTGGAGTGTGCTTTTACCTGTTGCTTTTAGAACCCTGTGAAGAAACCTAGGCGAGCCTGCTAGAGGGTGGATATGTGACCCACTCACCCTGGCCATCCAAATCAACTGTCACACTTGCAAAAAGGGACATATGGAACCAACCAGAGATCCTAGCCACCCTCCAGCTGACTGTAGCCACAAGTGAGATTATCAGAATACCCCAGATGAGGCTAACCTAAAAATACTGACCCACAGAGTTGTAGGCAAATGAGCTCATGATCTTTGTTTTAAACACTAAGTTTTGGGATTTGTAACAAAGCAAAGATTAATAATTTATTAATAATAATAAAAAAGTCAATATTTTTAAAGAATCAAAACAAATCTAAAGGCCTCTTCCTTACAATGACCATGATTTTGCTTTACAAGGAGCTTCCAGCAAAATATAATGCCTATCTGTGTCAGTCAGTTTTGCACTGCTATAGAGGAATACCTGAGACTGGGTAATTTACAAAGAAAATAGGTTTACTTAGCTTGTGATTCTGAAGGCTGTACAGGAAGCATGGCACCTGTGTCTGCTCCACTTCTGGTAAGGGCCTCAGGGAGCTTAAAAATATAGCAGAAGGCAAATGGGGAGCTGGCATCTCACATGGTAAGAGAGGGAGCAAGACAGAGATGGGGAGTAAGTCCCAGACTTTTAAACTATCAGATCTCACATGAGCTAAATGAGCTCACTTATCACCAAGAGGATGGTGCTAAACCATTCATAAGGGATCCGCCCTCTTGATCCAATCACTGTCCACCAAGCCCCATATCCAAAACTGGAAATCACATTTCAACATGAGATTTAGAGGTGATAAACATCCAAACCATATCACTATGATTTTAGAATCATTTTATCAATGAAAAAATATTATTAAAATAGGCATGGGAGGATGTAGAAACTGCCCTGTGATATAACTTGAAGGAACCTACCATGAAGCAACTTAATATATTCATTAGATACCCACTAAATATTAATATGATAAGTATAGTAAGATATAGAGGGTAGGTAAGCAACCAAATATGGCTACTACCCTTAATGAATGAATTTGAATGAATGCAAAACCTCACTTCTCCAGAACAAGACCATCAAGAAATCTCACTTAGCTCTATCAGTAAGAAACAAAAGTAAGAAATATGTGTGACATCATGAGCTTCGTACAATAAAGCTTCTACTTTTTACCATAGGTGAATCTCTAAGGCCATGAAAAGTGCTTACTTAGTCTAACTTTATATGTAACTTTAACAAATTAGATCATGTGGTTTTCAAGAAAAAAATTAGATTAAGGCATCAAGTGAGAAAGAAAATAGTTTATAGACAGGCACACCATACCAAAAACAACAACAACAACAACAACAACAACAAAAGAGCTGCTATAAACAAACCAAAAAAAATGGCAGAAAACCTAAAAAGAGAATACCCAATAACTCAATACTCAATACTCAATAACTCAAGAAGCAATGCATCTGAGACCACTGAAAAGCCCTATCCTCCTCAATGATTCCCATTGCATTATACACACAGTGCATTAATTCACATTCCTTGTGATGACTTATGTCTTCAAACACCTGTTAAACTGTGTGTGTTTAAAAAACAAAAAACCAAACAACTCAATTCAAAATTGACAAGGGACTTGAATAGACATTTTTCCAAAGAAGATATAAAAGTGGCCAAGAAGCATTTTAAAAGGTGTTCGACATCACTATCATTAGGAAATGCAAATTGAAACCACAATGAGATACCACTTCACACCCATTAAGATGGCTATTGTCCAAAAAGCAGAAAATAACAACTACTGGCAACGACATGGAGAAATGGGAACCTCTGTATATTGCTGGTGGGAATGTTAAATGATGCAGGCACTGTGAAGATACAATGGCTGTTCTTCAAAAAATTTAAACATAGAAATACTATATGACCCAGAATTCCACTTCTGCATATGTATACAAAAGAATTGAATGCAGGGGCTTGAACAGATATTTGTATACCAACAGTCATAGAAGCATTATGCACAATAGCCAAAAAGTAGAAACAACCCAAAAGTTCATCAACAGATGTACAGATAAACAAAAAGTGGCCTATACATATAATGGGATGTTATTTAGCCTTTAAGAGGAATGGAATTCCTATCACATGCTATAACATGGGATACGAGAAACCTTGAGAATATTGTGATAAGTGAAATATGCTAGAAACAATAGGATAAATATATGGTTCCACTTATATGAGGTACCTAGAACAGTAAAATTTATAGAGAAATGAAATAGAATGGTAGCCACCAGGGTTTGGAGGAGGGGAAAACGGGGAGTAATTGTTTAATGGTACAGAGTTTCAATTTGGGATGATTAAAAAGTTCTGGAGATGCCGGAGAGTAGTCATGGTTGCACAACAATGTGAAT
Source organism: Homo sapiens (assembly GCF_000001405.40). Lineage (NCBI taxonomy): Eukaryota > Metazoa > Chordata > Mammalia > Primates > Hominidae > Homo > Homo sapiens. The sequence goes on along the minus strand of NC_000006.12, from coordinate 60,896,679 downwards.
GTACCCAATGTCACTGAATCGTGCACTCAAAAATGGTATATAGTAAATTTTATGTTATAAATATTTTACCACAATAAAAAAAGGTCAGGATCAATTAGTTACCGTATGTATAAAAATCAATGGTAAAGGAGTACTAAACATAATGATTTGGTGAGGTTTCATCTAACTTGGGTAGGAAGCATCAAGGGCAAAGAAAAACCAGGATGATGCCTGAAAGATGAGCAGGAAAGGAGAAGCATGCCAGGTGAATGGAATAGCGCACTCAAAAGCACAGAGGTCAGAACAAACAAACACACTAAAAAAACTTCCTGCCTGGAGTTTGGAGTATATAGGAAGAGGGATATTGAGAAATGGGAGATAAAAATGTTTTTTGTTATAAAGAGCCATCAAAGCTAGGAAAGAAATTAGGAGGGCATAATAAAATTTAAAATTTTATCAATCCACTGAATGTCTTGAAGTTGATAAGGGGAATGATATGACTTTTACAGAAAATAATCTTTGCAACATAATGCACATTGAATGGAACTGGGGAAATCTGGTATCAGCGATGCCTGCTAGGTGTTGCTCAGTAATCCCAATATGAGATGATAAGCACCCAAACTAGAATTACGGTGTTAGGAAGGAAAGAGAGATGACAAATATAAGACATTTCCAAAAAAATACCAAAATTGGAGACTTACTGATTTAGAGATAAGTATACTTCATTCTACATCATTGACAGGCCATCTGAGTATAGAATTAATATATGAAAACAATATAATTATAACCCTGGAACATTTGGCAGAAAAAAAGATCATAGAGCAGAATTTAAAGCCAAGACTTTGTTTTTTACAAGAATTGCATTACAGAAAGGAAAAGTTGGAGAGTGCTCAACAGTCAGATGCTGGGAATGACTATATCTCAGTTTCTTAACACACCAATATTATTAGGGCTTCTTTTATCCCCACTTTACAAATGACAAAACTGTGGTTGAAAAAAATAACTTGTTCAGTATCTTTCGGTCAGTAAGTAGAGGAGTACACTGCTACTTTGGTAGCAAAATAGTGCAAATAAAATAAATAGCTCTATGTTTTTGTGCTAGAATAGAATTGTTTCTGAGCAATCACAGCCCCAAATCACTGCAAAACAAAAGCATGAACTTAAAATATACTAATAGTGACTCAAAACCTCCCATAGTATACCTCATACTGTTCCCCAATCTGAAGTATTTTCCAAGTTTCATAAAGTCATATAGTACAGGGCATATTGAAAATTAGTCCATTGTCCAGCTAACAGATCTCCAATTTTCAGTATAGCACACTAAAATAAAATGTGCTTTAATGTGTGTTCTAGCACTAGTTAAATAAAAATAGAATTGTAATCCTAACTTTTCTACCAAATAAGTTATCTGATAATTTAATATGTAATTCTTAAATTCTGAAACTGAGAATATAATCTTTCTGAATAAACAGATACAACTTACAGATTTTCATACAGTTTGGATCTGTGTCTCCACCAAACCACATGTTGAATTGTAATACCCAATGTTAGAGGTGAGGCGTGGCAGGAGGTGACTGGATCATGGGGGCAGTTTCTCATGAATGGTTTAGCACCATCCTCTTGGTGCTACTCTCATGATAGTGGATGAGTGAGTTCTCACGAAATTTGGTCATTTAAAAGTGTGTGGCACCTCCCCCATCTCTCTCTTCATCCTTCTCTGGCCATGTAAAGTGCTTCATTCCCCCTTTGTCTTCCACCACGATTAGAAGCTTTCTGAGGCCTCCCCAGAAGCAGAAAACATTATGCTTCCTGTACAGCCAGAAGAACCATGAGCCAATTAAACCTCTTTTATCTATAAATAACCCAGTCTCAGGTATTTCTTCATAGCAATGCAAGAATAGACTAACACAGGCTGTATTTTCAGAATCGTGACCAATTGTTTCTGAACTACATTTTCTCCCTCATCCTCATCAAATTATTAAGGTCATTTGTATGCACAAAAATAATTCAGCAGTTGTATAATGAGTCCAGACTGTGAAAACAAAACTGTATTTGTGAACATCACTCAGGTGTTGTTCGTATTTTTTATTTGTTTGTAATTCAATGCACCCTTCATTTAAAAAAGGCCATCACAGTAATTTTGAAACTCCATTATCTATAGAGTTTCAAGATAACTTGGATGTCTCTAGATGTCACCAGCCTGTGGAAAGAGAGGAAGGTGCATCAGCAGATATCCAATATTCAGTGGTTCACTGTCTTTTTGCTCATGGAGGAAGGACTCCAATCTCTGGAAGGGTCCCTTGCCCAGGTATTTCTGGAAGTGTCCCACAGGGGAAGAATAAATCTGCTATGTTATCTGCTTCCAACTTCTCCCTCTGAGGGTTGCCTTCCTGCAGGAAAACTGCCAATCACAGCCATACCCTCCCATAACTTCCATGAAATGCCTGGGCCCATGTTAAGGTGCCACCTCCATGTTCCCAAAGAAGACAGTCTTGGAATAGTAGTCTATGCCAATTGTTATCTGAGGTTGGAAAAATGACCCCCTCACATACTCTATGCAGTCCTCTGTCATTGTCCTTGAAGCAGCCCAGCTCATTCCACAAGCATCATGGCATTTCTCATGAAAGCAGCTCCTTCAGCTTTTTCCCCTCCATCATTCTATCGAGGCTCAAAAATCCAAATAGGCTGTAGCCATTTTGCTCTCTCCATTGTTATTTGCCACACACCACCTGCAGGTACTTCTGCAATTAAAAATTCTGCCTTAACCTAGAACAAAATATCTTATTCATAACAAGGTATGCTGACAGGTGTTCTTATAGGTCACCAGACCACTAGCTCAGCAAACAGTAAGAGGCTTATTCTCAATTTGATCTCAGCTTGGATCCACTTTAAATGGCCATGGACTGAAATCATTCTTATAATTTAAATGTAACAAAAAAATACTTAAACTATAAATGGAAGCATAGTTATGTAACAGGCTGATATATGCCAGCATCAAGGGATTAAATAGGTAGAAATACTTCCTTCTCTATTTATTCAATCCTATTACCTGAAAGAAAATGAACTACTATCTGAAATCACATGAAAGAGGGCCACTGGCTATTTCAAAAGCATAATCTAGAAATTGATGAGCTGACATATTTTAATAAACCTTTTTTCCTCTGAATTTGGAATTCAATCCCTGCTTGGTTAGTTGGTCTCATATAAATCCTCTTTTCTTTGGATTTGCTTTCTACGTAAATGCTTGCTACTTTGTGTTTGAATCCTAAAGCTTTTGGATGTGGTATGGGTATAAAATACAGAAAAAAAAGTCATTATTTCCCTTATATTCTTTTTTAAAAGGCCACAGTAATTTCTTTAAAATGGAAAGAGGTATTTTGCTATGAGGCAAATTATAAAATTACTGAAGTGAGTTAGAGTGTAATTATTCATATATGCATGTAGAGAAACCACCACCATGTAAATGCCTAAAATATAAATTTGTCAAAAAATATTGACCGTTTCCTACATATAAGTGGACACACATGTGTGTGTAGATTGTAGATATACACAGGCATATGTGTACACATTCATGCAAACGCAATAAGAATCTTTTTCTAACACTTACTTGATTTTATTCAAACTTGCGCACACGTTTTGGAAACAGAGTTTAGGTTCTAGTTCTGTCTTAGCCTATTTGTGTTACTATAAAGGAATAACCTGAGGCTGAGTAACTTATAAAGAAAAGAGGTTTATTTGGCTCATGGTTCTGCAGGCTGTAAAACAAGTATGGTACTAGTATCTGCTCCCAGTAAGGGCTTTAGGTGTCTTCCACTCAAGGTGGGAAACAAAGGGCATGTGCAGAAATCACATGGTGAGAGAAGCAGCAAGGGAGGAGGGCAGGGAGATGCTAGGTTTTTTAAACAACCAGTTCTCATAGGAGCTAATGGTGCAAGAACTCACTCATTACCATGAGGATGGGACCAAACAATTCATGAGAGATCTACACCCAAGAATCACTCAAGCACCTCCCATTAGGTCTCACCTCCAACACTGGGGATCAAGTTTCAACATGAGATCTGGGGAGACAAACATCCAAACCATAGCAAGTTCCTAGAGCACAAGAAGTAACTTCTTTTCAAATTCACATAGGTTAAGAGGAAGTGTTATTAAATGTATTTTTCAACAGTAGAGTTTACATCCAATTCCAAAATTAAAGATAATTAGTCACTTTTTTTCCTTGTTTGGGTTAATAGGCTCAACCTCAATAAATCCAAAGAAAGTGCTCAAAAGAAACTATCAACACTTAATTGCAGTGAACCCCTTACCCTTCCCTCCTCCATCTCCTTACGTGGTCGATGATGTATGAAATCAAGGTAGGGAAGAGAGGTATGGAGTCTTTCTTGTGATAATTCAAATTAATGTGCACGTGCTTGGTTTACTGAGGCTGATTCAAAGTCAAGCAGGAAAATAGCATCTATCACAGGAATCAGAGACTTACCTACCCTACTAGGGTAGGGTGTAGGGGAATGTATGCCACAAGAAAGCCTAAGTATGCTATATACCTAAAAGGAAGAAGTGCCTCTACTAAAGGGGGAAGGAAATTCAGAAAATGAGTTATTGGAGAGCTGTAACAATCTTGCAGGATTCATAACTCAGTCTAGGAAACTCCATACCTGGAATTTCTCTAGAGAAAAAGAAACTGTGTCAAGATGTTTCTGTTATGTTCAGCTAGAAATGCATGCAACTTTATTTGAATGATTTATAAAGATTTGTGTTGTTATTTTTAAACATAGACTTTGTTATAAAGTTTTTTAAAAGAATTTGTTAGTAAGTATCATGTACTTATGCACACACAGAGCTTTTTAATCAAATCTTAATCTCCATAGGCCTGACGCCTATGTGATATACAGACCCAGATGAAAGGATAATGACAATTTGCCAAGAAAGGTTGTATTGCTGTCATGCAATCCATCCATAAATTTCATAGTGACTAAATAAACACAGATGTGTCCTTCTGAATTGTTCAATAAGCAGATAATATTCTTTAAAATTATTAGTATGCTTGCTTTCTTTTCTTGTATTCAAAGCTCATTATTTATTGGTCATTTTAAATATATAGTCCTTAACACGTAGAGTATTTAAATAAAACCTAAAATATAATGATTCTGTATGATTTCACCTCAGTGAGGCAAATCTAAATATTTCTTCTAGTATATTGGTTCTCAACTTGGGGTGATTTTACCCCACAGAGGACATCTGGCCATGTCTGGGGACATTTTTGTTTGTTAAAATTGGAGAATGCTACTGGCATCTGGTGGGTGCTACTAGCATTTGGTCAGGGACGCTACTAAACATCCTGCATTGTGCAGAACAGCCCCCTGTGACAAGGAAGTATAAATGAAACTTCTCTACTTCCAAAGGCTGACTCCATTCCTTAAAGTTAGTGTTTCTAGGAGGGCTACCCTCAAACTGTGCACTTGAATACATTCTCTTTAAATTAGATTATGATCCTTTTGATTATTTAAAATATTTGCTTTTGTATCTCCAGTAGCTAATATAGTACGTGGCACATAAAAGGCTCTCAGTAACTGTTTAATGAATGAATAACTTAGGACAATAATGAGACAGAGGTCAAGTCTTAACTCAGCACAACTTGACTCTCTGACATGGAGCAACTGAGGTATTCTGCCTTTCTTTCCTCAACTGGAAATACGTACTTAGATTTTATGACTAATTTTTAAATGTATTAAGTGATTTAGAATTGGTGAGTTTTTTTGTCTCCAACTTTTTTTTTCCTTTTCTTTTAGGTTTAGGAGTACATGTGCAGGTAAACTGCGTGTCAAAAGGGTTTGGTGTACAGATTATTTTGCCACCCAGGTAACAGACATAGTACCCAATAGGTAGTTTTTCAATCCTTACCCTCTTTCCTCCCTCCAACCTTATGTAGGTCCTGATGTCTGTTGTTATCTCTTTTGTGTCCATATGTACTGAATGTTTAGCTCCTATTTATAAGTCAGAACAGGTAATATTTGGTTTTCTGTTCCCATATTCACTTAGAATAATGGCCTCCAACTCTATCCATGTTGCTGCAAAGGATATGATCTCATTGTTTTTTATGGCTATGTAGTATTCCTTGGTGTATATGTACCACATTTTCTTTATCCAGTCTACTGTAGATGGACATTTAGGTTAATTCCATGTTTTTGCTATTGTGAATACTGCTGTGATGAATATACATGTGCATGCGTCTTTAGGGTGGAACAATTTATATTTCTTTAGGTACATACCCAATAATGGGATTGCTTGGTCAAATGGTAATTCTGCTTTGAATTCTTTGAGGAATTCTTTGAGAAAGCCAAATAGCTGTCCACAAGGGCTGAACTAACTTACATTCCCACCAGCAGTGTATAAGCATTCTCTTATCTCCACTTTTTTCCACTTCATAAGCATCTGTTATTTTTTGACTTTTTAATAATAGCCATTCTGAAATGTTAGATGGTAACTCATTGTGGTTTTCATTTGGATTTCTCTAATGATTAGTGACGTTGAACATTTTTTCATATGTTTGTTGGCCACATATACATCTTCTTTTGAAAAGTATCTGTTCATATTTTTTGCCCATTTTTTAATGGGGTTGTTTGTTTCTGCTTGCAGATTTGTTTATGTTCATCATAGATTCTGGATACTAGACCTTTGTTGGATGCATAGATTGCAAATATTTTCTCCCATTCTATGGTTGTCTGTTTACTCTGTTGATAGTTTCTTTTGCTGTGCAGCAGCTCTTCAGTTTAATTAAGTCCCATGTGTGAATCTTCATTTTTGTTGCAATTGCTTTTGATGACTCTGTCATGAAAATTTTGTCAGGTCCTATTTCTAGAATGAGATTTCCTAGGTTATCTTCTAGGGTTTTTATAGTTTGAGGTTTTATATTGAAGTCTTTAATCCATCTTGAGTTGATTTTTGTATATGGTATAAGGAAGAGGTCCAGTTTCAATCTTGTGCATATGGTGAGCCAGTTAGCACAGCACCATTTATTAAATACGGAGTCCTTTCCCCATTGCTTGTTTTTGTTGACTTTGTCAAAGATCACATGGTTGTAGGTGTGCAGCATTATTTCTGGGCTATCTATTCTGTTCCATTTGTCTATGTGTCTGTTTTTGTGACAGTAGCATGCTGTTTGGGTTACTGTAGCCTTGTACTATAGTTTGCAGTCAGGTAAGATTATGCCTCCAGCTTTGTTCTTTTTGCTGAGAGTTGCCTTGGCTATTTGAGCTCTTTTTTTGTTCCATATGAATTTAAAAATAGTTTTTTATCATTCTGCAAGGAATGTCATTGGTAGTTTGATAGGAATAGCACTGAATCTGCTCATTGCTTTGGGCAGTATGGCCAATTTAACCGTATTGATTTTTCCTATCTATGAGCATGGAAATGTTTTCCATTTGCTTGTGTCACCTCCGATTTCTTTCAACAGTGTTTTGTAATTCTCACTGTAGAGATCTTTGACTTCCCTCGTTAGCTGTATTCCTAGGTATTTTATTCTTTTTGTGGCTACTGTGAATAGGATTGCATTCTTGATTTGGCTTTCAGCTTGGTTGTTGTTGGTATATAGGAATACTACTGATGTGTGTACATTGATTTTGTATCTTGAAACTTTGCTGAAGTTGTTTAACAGATTAAGGAGATTTTAGGCAGAGACTATGGGGTTTCCTATGTGTAGAAACTTACTATCTGCAAACAGTGATAGTTTGACTTCCTCTCTTGCTATTTGGATGCCTTTTATTTCTTTCTCTTGACTGATTGCTCTGGCCAGGATTTCCGCTACTATGTTAAATAGGACTGGTGAGAAAGGGCCCTTGTCTTGTTCTTGTGTTCAAGAGGAATGCTTCCAGCTTTTACCCATAAAAATTGGTAATTCTTTTGCTAGAGAAATAAAATACAAAGTTACTAATTTCGTTCCTATTCTAATTTGGAATGTTCTAGTCCCACAGAAAAATTTTACATGCAAAGTTAAATTAATTTTAATACCATGCCAGGCCAAAAAAAAAAAAGAAGAAGAAGAAGATGGCTTAGGATACACACTGAGAAGGTGGGAAAAATCCTACAAAAGACTAGAGAAAAAAAGAATACTTTATTAAGCTTTAACTTATTGCCAGGCACTGTGCTAGGAAGTGAGAAAACAAATGAGTAGGACATTATCTCCTTTCTGAGCAACTTACCCAGACAAACCAAGGGACAACCCAAGAACGTCACGAGCAAGTTTTCTCAGTGAGGAGGTGGATTGGAAAAGCAGAACCACCCAAGGGGCTTTAACACACTCCATACCTCTCCTCTTCACTGAATCCCATTTCTCTGTCTACTTACAGTAAGTGCCATGCTAAGCCACTCTCACTGAGAGACCTAGGCCACATTCCTTAGGAACCAAGAATATCCAATTGGTTAAAGTTAAGAATTATGGCTAGATTGAGTTAAAGAAAAAGACAAAGTGAGTAATAACTATTTTATTTAACATTTGTTATTATTATCATTTCTTAAGAGACAGGGTCTTATTCTATTTCCCAGGCTGGAATGCAGTGGCACAATTATGGCTTATTGTAACCCCAAACACCTGGGCTCAAGCTATCCTCCCACCTCGGCCTCCCAAGTTGCTGGGACTACAAGTGCACATCACCACATCCAGCTAAATTTTTTTTTTTTTTGTAGAGATGGCTGTCTCCCTGTGTTGCCCAGGCTGATCTTGAATTCCTGTCCTCAAGCAATCCTCCCACCTCAGCTTTCCAATGTGCTGAGATTACAGGTGGCACCACACCTGGCCCTTTTTTTTTTTTTAATTTTAAAAAATGCCATTGAAGTAAGGGAGTATTTCTCCGGCATTACAAATTTGTCTTATAACCACAAATAAATTTCAAGACTTATTACTGTGGTGTTTTGAAAAATACTACAAAAGCTAAAGGGGTTCTCAAACTTGGGTCAGTATTAGAATCACCCAGGGGACTTGGTAAAGTCCAAGGCGTAGGCTTTGTCCTATCTAAGTAAAAATGCACTGGACACTTGTTAAAAATAGTAAGATGAGTTTATTCAGGCTACTGTAGTAGGGGAGGAAGACTTCTACTGAAATAAAAGGTAGAAGAGCCTTTAAGCACTGGGGTGAGCTAGCTTCTTAGCAGAATGATTGCCAATGTGATTAGGTCATCTGTGTTTGCTAATTGTCTCCTATTGAAGTTAGGCTCCTACCGCTCACAGAGACTGGAAAATAGTGACACTATCTTCCTTTACTACATTTCAAAAGGATGGCCTCAGGTCCTTGAGAAAGACATCAGTGGGTGGTAAAAAATGTCAAGAGGCTGGAAAAATATTTATATCTCAAAGGAAGGGAGGAAGAATTTACAGTTGTAACTTTAAAGTAAATGTTATTTAAAAAAAAAAAAAAAAAAAAAAGGGAGGTCCCAGGGATGAAGCCAACTTGATCATGGTGGATAAGCTTTTTGATATGCTGCTGGATTTGGTTTGCCAGTATTTTATTCAGGATCTTCACATCAATGTTCATCAGGAATATTGGCCTGAAATTTTCTTTTGTTGTTGTGGCTCTGCCAGGTTTTGGTATCAGGATGATGCTGGCCTCATAAAATGACTTAGGGAGGAGTCGCTCTTTTTCTATTGTTTGGAATAGTTTCAGAAGGAATGGTACCAGCTCTTCTTTGTAAAATTCAGCTGTGAATTTGTCTGGTCCTGGGCTTTTTCTGGTTGGTAGGCTATTAATTACTGCCTCAATTTCAGACCTTGCTATTGGTCTATTCAGGAATTCAACTTCTTCCTGGTTTAGTCTTGGGAGGGTGTAGGTGTCCAGGAATTTATCCATTTCTTCTAGATTTTCTAGTTTATTTGCATAGAGGTGTTTATAGTATTATCTGATGGTAGTTTATATTATTGCGGGATCAGTGGTAATCTTCACTTTATCATTTTTTATTGTGTCTATTTGATTCTTCTCTATTTTCTTCTTTATTAGTCTGGCTAGTGGTCAATCTACTTTGTTAACCTTTTCAAAAAGCCAGCTCCTGGATTCAATGATTTATTTTTTGAAGGGTTTTTGGTATCTCTATCTCCTTCAGTTCTGATCTTAGTTACTTTTTGTCTTCTGCTAGCTTTTAAGTTTGTTTGCTCTTACTTCTCTTGTTCTTTTAATTGTGATGTTAGGATGTCCATTTTAGATGTTTCCAGCTTTCTGATATGGGCATTTTAGTGCTATAAATTTGCCTCCTAACACTGCTTTAGCTGTGTCCCAGAGATTCTGGTACATTGTCTCTTTGTTCTCATTGGTTTCAAAAAACTTTGTTATTTCTAACTTAATTTCGTTATTTACCTAGTAGTCATTCAGGAGCAGGTTGTTCAGTTTCCATGCAGTTGTGTGGTTTTGAGTGAGTTTCTTAATCCTGAGTTCTAATTTGATTGCACTGTGGTCTGAGAGACTGTTATGATTTCCATTCTTTCGCATTTGATGAGGAGTGTTTTACTTCCAATTATGTGGTTGATTTTAGAATAAGTGCTATGTGGCGCTCGGAAGAATGTACATTCTGTTGATTTGGAGTGGAGAGTTCTGTAGATGTCTACTAGGTCCACTTGGACGAGAGCAGAGTTCAAGTCCTGAATATTCCTATTAATTTTCTGTCTCATTGATCTGTCTAATATTGACAGTGGGGTGTTAAAGTCTCACTGTATTATTGTGTGGGAGCATAAGTCTCTTTGTAGGTCTCTAAGAACTTGTTTTATGAATCTGGGTACTCCCGTACTGGGTGCATATATATTTAGGATAGTTAGCTCTACATACCCAAATCAATAAACTTAATCCATCACATAAACAGAATCAATGACAAAAACCACATGATTATCTCAACAGATGCAGAAAAGGCCTTTGATAAAATTTAACATGGCTTCATGATAAAAACACTCAATAAACTAGGTATTGAAGGAATATGTCTCAAAACAACAAGAGCTATTTATGACAAACCCACAGCCAATATCATACTGAATGGGCAAAAGCTGGAAGCATTCCCTTTGAAAACTGTCACAAGACAAGGATGCCCTCTCTCACCACTCTTATTCAACAGAGTATTAGAAGTTCTGGCAAGGGCAATTAGGCAAGAGAAAGAAATAAAGTGTATTCAAATAGGAAGAGAGGAAGTCAAATTGTCTCTGTTTACAGATGACATGATTGTATATTTAGAAAACCCCATTGTCTCAGCCCAAAAACTCCTTAAGATTATAAGCAAATTCAGCAAAGTCTCAGGATATGCAAATCAATGTGCAAAAATCACAAGCATTCCTGTACACCAACAACAGACAGACAGCCAAATCATGAGTGAACTCCCATTCACAATTGCTACAAAGAGAATAAAATACCTAGGAATACAACTTACAAGGGACATGAAGTACCTCTTCAAGGAGAACTATAAACCACTGCTCAAGGAAATAAGAGAGGACACAAACAAATGGAAAAACATTCCATGCTCATGGATAGGAAGAATCAATATCATGAACATGGCTATACTGCCCAAAATAATTTATAGATTCAATGTTATTTCCATCAAGCTACCATTGACTTTCTTCACAGAATTAGAAAAAACTACTTTAAATTTCATATGGAACCAGAAAAGAGCCCATATAGTCAAGACAATCCTAAGCAAAAAGAACAAAGCTGGAGGCATCACACTACCTGACTTCAAAGTATACTACAAGGCTACAGTAACCAAAACAGCATGGTACTGAAACAAAAACGGATATATAGACCAATGTAACAGAATAAAGTCCTCAGAAATAACACCCCACATATACAACCATCTGGTCTTCAACAAATCTGACAAAAACAAGAAATGGGGAAAGGATTCCCCATTTAATAAATGGTGCTGGTAAAACTGGCTAGCCATATGCAGAAAACTGAAACTGGACCCCTTCCTCACACCTTATACAAAAATTAACTTAAGATGGATTAAAGACTTAAATGTAAAACCTAAAACCATAAAAACCCTAGAAGAAAACCTAGGCAATACCATTCAGGACATAGGCATGGGCAAAGACTTCATGACTAAAACACCAAAAGCAATTGCAACAAAGGCCAAAATTGACAAACGGTGTCTAATTAAACTAAAAAGCTTCTGCACAGCAAAAGAAACTATCATCAGAGTGAACAGGCAATCCAGAGAATGGGAGAAAATTTTTGCAACGTATCCATCCGACAAAGGTCTAATATTCAGAATCTACAAAGAACTTAAACAAATATACAAGAAAAAAAAACAACCCCATCAAAAAGTGGGTGAAGGATATGAACAGACTTCTCAAAAGAAAACAGTTATGTGGCCAACAAACATATGAAAAAAAGCTCATCACTGGTCATTAGAGAAATGCAAATCAAAACCACAATGAGATACCATCTCACAGCAGTTAGAATGGTGATCATTAAAAAGTCAAGAAACAACAGATGCTAGAGAGGATATGGAGAAATAGGAAGGCTTTTACACTGTTGGTGGGAGTGTAAATTAGTTCAACCATAGTGGAAGACAGTGTGGCAATTCCTCAAGGATCTAGGACCAGAAATACCATTTGACCTAGCAATCCCATTACTGGGTATATACCCAAAGGATTATAAATCATTCTACTATAAAGACGTATGCACACGTATGTTTATTGCAGCACTATTCACAATAGCAAAGACTTGGAACCAACCCAAATATCCATCAATGATAGACTGGATAAAAAAAAAATGTGGCACATATACACAATGGAATAATATACAGCCATAAAAAAGAATGAATTCATGTCCTTTGCAGGTATATGGATGAAGCTGGAAACCATCATTCTCAGCATACTGACACAGGAACAGAAAACCAAACACTGCATATTCTCACTCATAAGTGGGAGTTGAACAATGAGAACACATGGACACAGGAAGGGGAACATCACACACAGGGGGGCCTGTTGAGGGGGTAGGAGGCAATGGGAGGGAGAGCATTAGGACAAATACCTAATAGATGTGGGGCTTAAAACCTAGATGATGGGTTGATGGGTGCAGCAAACCACCATGACACATATATACCTATGCAACAAACCTACATGTTATACGCATGTATCCCAGAATTTAAAGTATAATAAAAAAAAAAAGAAAGAAGAAAGAAAGAAAAGAAAAGAAAAGAGAAAAGGGAGGTCAAGGGCCTATAGTTAAGAAACGTATCTAAAGTCTAGACAAACTAAGTGGATCATTAAGACCACCTTGAGCATATGTCAGTGAGTTTTCTTAGTTCTCTAGATAAGAATCCGATAGGTACCCAAGATTGGAAACCAGCACTGAGATGTTTAGAAAAACTCTCAAAACTACCTCAAATTAAAGTGTTAACAAAATAACATAATCATATTTCACTTATGTTGTGTTCATGGATTCTCCCCTTACTCATTATATGTGACAGCAAAACATGTAACTTTTATGTGGGATGAAAAGAAATAGAACTAAAATGTAAGGCTTCCAGATAAAATACAGGACATGTGGTTCATACTTACTTTCTGAAATTCACATTTTATTGAGTGCTGTGTACTTTTATTCACTGTATCTGGCCACCCTAAGGTGGAGATTATGCTTGTGCTTTCCCTCACAGCACACAAACAACTTCTAATTAAAAATCTTAAAGGTATTGCCTTGATGTTTTTGTGAAGAAGAATGTTTGAAATGAGTCAAGACAGATAAGAGTCTTAAGGCTTTTAGTACAGTAACCTTTTAGGAATTGCCTTTTCCTGAACATCCACTCTACACAATGCCCAGGCCTAACAATACAGCCTCTTGATGTGCCTGAGGCCAGGTGTCTCTCTCAGCCATTGTTTGTGAGGCAAACCTTTTCTGCCTGGGTTGCCTGGATTTATGGAAGCCACTTATTCTCTTTTAAATGTTAGGAACTCAGCAGGTTGAAATATAAACATTTTTTCAAACAGGTTCAAAGAACATGAACAATCTACAAAGGACATAATCAAACGCCTTCCAAATTGCAAAGCCACAGGTTCCAGACCCCACCAGATTTCAGTTTTGTGCATATTTTATCAACCATTTGAACAATAGAGAGTGGCTGACCTGCTTGGCTCAGTTATCAAAGGGATCTCTTGTATCCTGTAATGACAAAAGTGGGTCTGCATGACAATTTAACAGCAAAAGCCATTTCTTTCCATTTTATACTTTAAAAAACTGCCAAGTAATTAACTTCACAGCAGTTTTGTTGGCAAAGTAATACCACAGATAAAATGAAACATTCATTAATAATTGACCATGAAAACTGTAGTTAAATACTGTTGAGCTAATATAATCACTAACAGAAAAAGATAGAGCAGAATGACTGAGATGTGGGAAAGTAAAAGCAATTACATGGGATGCTTCAGCTCTGAAAGGCTGAAAACGAAAGAAAAAGAGATCAAAAACAAGAGGTAAAAACATTATTTATAGTACCTGTATTTTCTATATTTATGAGCTAAACAATCAATTATAGTGCTCAAGTCCAATATGATTTCCCCTTTAAAAAAAAAAAAAAACCCACTCTCAAAAAGAGCCTTTCATTTGTGTAAAGATTCAAATAGGTAAAAGACACATAAACATGATAACCAAAAGTCCATCACAGCATATGATGAAATATCCAATTAAGCCAGCAATAACTATGGACCAAAGCAAGCACTTTATTTCTACTTTAAAGCCTATGTCTTGTCCATCGTACTGTCCTTTAACTAAATGCTACTGACAATGACTCTACCATCCTGTCACAATGTGGTTATTGTTTTCTCCCCCATATAAAAATCTTCTAAATGATTTGGGCCCCCCAAAAAATAGTGTAAGTTCGAAAGTATTCCTGGATAAATAAATCCTTTCATGTGGAAATATCTGTGATTCCTTTTATGCAGAAAACAAAACAAAAGGCAAAGGAAATAATTTCCTCTGCCTCAAATGGATGTTCTTTGTATATCTCCACTTCAGAATCTAGGTTACCCATGAATTCTGAGAAAAAAAAATCATAGAGGGGGGTGATGAGCCTCGCACTAGATAATTTCTTAGCTTTCATACTTGTATATTGTTAAAATAATGCATGTTTAAATTGCTTTGATCTGAGGATCATTGAATAGCATCAAGCCTTTCCTACTGATAATTAAGTATCTTTCAGGATAAATAGTAATTAAACTTTATTTTTTGTAATGGGGAGACCCAGATACTAAGCTTTCTACTAAACCGCTATGAGCAAAGCTCAGAAATAGAACCTAGAATTTTCCATTTTTATCCTGTTCTGAGCAGAAGACTACATTATATCTTTGGGAATTATCTGTAATAGCATTGTTTAAAAGAAAATGCAGTAATGTTGCAGGAAAAAAGGATATAGGATAAGGATAAAATCATAACAAAAATCTCTATTGCAGAAGATTTTTGTTGCACCTGTGGTTCACTTTAGAACATCAGCAATCTGTTTTGAACTGGTCCATAATTTCTAGTGCAATTCAAAAATAATTGCTAATGTGCTTTTTAACTTGCAATTTTCAGAGCCATAAACCTTAAAATTCACTCTGGAAATGCTGAGGCTCTTTATTTTAAAATGTGAGAAAAGAAATGCCTTACGTCTTTTCTGTATGTTCCTACTCAAAGACGAACAGCTCTCTGGATCTGTAAGAGGAAGTTATCATTTGGTTCATAACACAAAGAAACAAGGGAGGGAAAAAAAGAAAAAGAAAAAAAGGCAAACAGAGTATTTGGCAGCCATGCTTATCAAATTAACACAAAAAATATGCTTTTCTGATTCAAATATTTTAATTACATAAGTCTGAGGTAACACAATGTAGAACTGACCACAATTAATTAATTGTATTTATTATACTAGTCAAACTCCTGATTTAAGCCTATTATAACTCAGCTATTTGGCCTTAAAGTAAGATAAATGATCCCATTCAATTTTTTTTAATTTATTTATTTATTTGTTTTTAGACACAGGGTCTCAATCTGTCACCAAGGCTGCAGTGCAGTGGCACAATCATAGCTCACTACAGTCTCAAACTCCTAGGCTCAAGCGATCCTCCTGCCTCAGCCTCCCAAGTAACTGGGACCACAGGCATGCACCACCAGGTTCAGTTAAGTCTTTAAACATTTTTTGTAGAGACAGGGTCTCATTTTGTTGTCCATGCTGGTCTCAAACTCCTGGCTTGTTCAAGCGGTCCTCCTGCCTTGGCCTCCTAAAGTGTTGGGATTACAGGCATAAGCCCCTGTGCTTGGCTCAAAATTATCTCATTCTTTAAGGCAAAACATAATTTATTTATTTATGAAGGAATATTTCAGATGTATAGCTTAATGCTCAAATCCTGAAAAATCATTGTATTATGGATCGTTTCAAGGTTTCTTTTAAAGAACTCTAACAATATACATTGTACATTCTTTTTTCCTACTTAAAGTTGAAGTTCCTTTTCACAAATTGAAAGCAAGTTTGGCTGCACTTGAGCTAATGTATATATAAGCCTGAAAAAAAAATGCTAATTAAACTTAAAATGTTAAAGATAAATAATGAAATAACATGTTTTGCAAGTGACTGGAGAGTCCATTTCCAGTCCACTCAGTTGTCTTAAACACAGATCTACCCCAGAATAGACTCCCCAGAAGGCTCCTTTCTAGATATTTACATGTAGAAAGGTTCATTGATAGGCGCCAGTCCTGTTGTGTAGATTTGAAGAGCAAAGTCTCCAGCTTGCTTTATGTTATCATTTTGACAACATAAGACACTTTGAAAATATTTACTTTGGCTTATAAGCTATTTCCTTAAAAATTTTTATTTCTAAATATTGCTTCACTTTGGATCCTTTATCTACTTTGTTCAAACAAGGCTAAATAATGTCACTATTTAATAACAACTATGCAAATTATTCCATTCCTGAAATTATCTAAAATCAATTACATATTTGTTTTTCAGATTATAGGTAAATCCTTCATATCAGTTTACACCTAGAAAATATATTATACATTTATTATTCTAAAACTTAGCTTCTACTATAAATATGTGAACATACATGCCAAATTCAAATACCATCCCTTTGTACCTTTTTAGGTAATTACAACTGGACTGCAATTACAATTTTGAGGTAGATCTGTGTTGATAAAGATTAGTTAATGGTTTCTACAAAACTAGCTTACAAAAGATGATAACTTTCTTTAAAGTTTTTATATGATTAAAATAATTAAAAAAACATATTTTCAATTCCATTGAATTAAAGTTTCAGATGTGACCTAGATCAAATCATCAAAATAAATAAATTTTGAGCTTTTATTGGGTTCAATAGGCCAAGATCTCAAATTAGTATATGTTGCCCACTACAGCATTATTTCCATTAGGCTACAAATGCTTTTTAAAGTTAGATATCATTTTATAAAACAGGAAAAGGGGTAATAAATATTCTTAGGGCCTTGGGATAATTTTTAACTTGTCAGGGAAACAGACAACTGACTTTTGTGGCTGGGTCAGGATAAAAGGATAAAGATAAAAGGGAATAATTTCTATTTCTCCACCTCTCCAGAGTGCTGTATAATTTAATTTCACATGGCTGACTTGTAAACTCACCACCTCTCTAAAGGCTTAATAAAAATTAGGGCTTTACTTGTATTCTATCATCTAAAAATATTCTGACTTGACGAGCATACTAAATATCTAGCTAGAATATGTGCTATGTGTTGTTGGGGCTCAGAAGATAATACCCTACAATATGGCATGTTGGCATGCTGAGTGCTTTGAACAAAGAATATTGAAAAGCCTCAGTAATGAGCCTCAGAACTAAGGTCGCTCTCTCTGACCTCCTGCCCTTTCTTCTCTTTCCTTTTGCTAGTGCAGAGAGGAGCTTTCTCAAGTTCCCTTATCTGACTGAAGGAAGTTCTTCCAAAAGGAATGCAATTGTCTTGAACCCCTTCCCTAGGAATCTCATCAAACAACTAGAAAAGATTATTTACCAGAAAGGACATTAAAAGTCATCACTACATCCAGGCTGGGCACAGTGGGGCTCACACCTGTAGTCTCAGCACTTTGGGAGGCCAAGGTGGGCAGATCACTCAAGGCCAAGAGTTTGAGGCCAGCTTGGCCAACATGACGAAACCTTACCTCTACTGAAAATACGAAAAAAGAAAAAAAATAGCTGGGCATGGTGACATGCACCTGTAGTCCCAGCTACTCAGGAGACTGAGGAACGAAAATCACTTGAACCTGGGAGGTGGAGGTTGCAGTGAGCCAAGATCACACCACTGCACTCCAGCCTGGGCAACAGGGCAAGACTTTGTCTCAAAAAAAAAAAAAAAAAAAAAAAAAGAAGTAATCACCACATCCAGATGGCATCTTCTCCTGAAGGTTGATCCTTAAAGAACTTTTATTACCTAAGAGACTTTTATCTGTGTAGTAAGATAAACTTTGGTTACCATGAGATTCCTCCCCTTTCCCTCCCATAACTTACAGTCACCTGTAAAGTCCACCAAAAGTCTGAAGCCCCTATTCCTTCAAGCTATTTTAACCTTCAACCATCTCTGTTCCCTTCTTTGAGTCTCATATCTTACATGGCTCCCATGCACACTTGCACATTAACAAATTTGTATGCCTTTTTGCCTATTAATGTATTGTCAGTTTATTTCACCAGATTGAAACCTTCAGAGGGGAAAAGAAAAAATTCATTTCACTCCTACAGTGTTTACAAACAAATTATATATGCACACAGGAATCATGCTATATTTATTTTAGTATCACCAATACCTACAATATTTATGATGTATCAAGTTACTCAGTGGATGTATGTATACCAAATTGAAATTAAACACGTATCAAGAAGTAGATGGATAAGAATGAGAGGACAAAAGAGAACTATGCTCACAGATCATATGTACTCATACATCAGTCAAAATATGCAGACAGAAATAGATTTCTATGTACAAGAAGTAAAACATATTCCTAAAGCTTTCATAAAGCCAAAAGCCAAAAATATATACATTTTTTCAAATATTTACGTAGATGGACTGCTTTAGAGAATAAATATAGCCTCATCGTGCTCAGGAAGGGAGTATAATGAGAGGACAGAGCCCAGGGTGCTGATTTACTGCTCTCTTAGGTGCCTTTCCTTGCTGATTTATGGAGGTGCCATAGAAACGCCTTTGGAAGAAGCCTGTTGCCTTTTTTAGGGAATAATTACTGCTCTGACACTCAGCCAGGGAACACAGAGAGAAAAATAAAATATAGAAATTAATATGATGAAAACTTTTTTTAGTAAAATACACACAGGCATACCTCTGATAAATGTATTTAGTAAATACACACAGGCATACCTTATCTTACTTTAAGGCCAAATAGCTGAGTTATAATAGGCTTAAATCAGGATTTTGACTAGTATAATAAATACAATTAATTAATTGTGGTCAGTTCTACATTGTTTGTGTTACCTCAGACTTACATAATTAAAATATTTGAATCAGAAAAGCATATAATACCTCTGACATATTATGGGTTTAATTTCAGACTACCACAATAAAGCGAAATCATAATGAAGTGAGTCACTTGAATTTTTTGTTTCCCAGTGCATATAAATTTATGTTTACAATATACTGTAGTCTGTTAAGTGTGCAATAGCATCATGTCTAAAATAACAATGTACATACTTTAATTTTAAAATATTTTATTGCTAACAACAACAACAAAAAAAATGCTAACAATCGGGCCGGGTGCAGTGGCTCATGCCTATAATCCCAGCACTTTGGGAGGCCAAGAGGGGCGGATCACGAGGTCAGGTGATCGAGACCATCCTGGCCAACAAGGTGAAATCCTGTCTCTACTAAAACACACACAAAAAATTAGCTGGGCATGGTGGTGCATCTGTAGTCCCACCTACTCGGGAGGCTGACGCAGGGGAATCGCTTGAACCTGGGAGGTGGAGGTTGCAGTGAGCCAAGATTACGCCACTGCACTCCAGCCTGGTGACAGAGCAAGACTCCGTCTCATAAATAAAATAAAATTAAAAAATGCTAACAATCATCTGAACTTTTAGCAAGTCATAATCTTTTTGCTGGTGAAGGCTCTTGCTTCATTGTTGATGGCTACGGACTGATCAGGGTGGGGTTGCTGAAGGTTGTCGGGGTAGCTGTGGCCATTTCTGAAAAAACAACAATGAAGTTTGCTGCATCGATTGATTCTTCCTTTCACAAAAGATTTCTCTGTAGCATGCAATGCTGTTTGATAGCATTTTACCTTGTGTAGAACTGCTTTCAAAATTGGAGTCAATCCTCTCAAGCCCTGCCACTGCTTTGTCAACTAAGGTTATGTAATATTCTAAATCATTTGTGGTCATTTCTACAAAGCTCACAGCATCTTCACTGTGAGATTTCATCTCAAGAAACTACTTTCCTTTGCTCATCAATGAGAAGCAGCTCCTCATTCATTCAAGTTTTATCTTGAGATTGCAGCAATTCAGTCACATCTTTAGATATCACTCTAATTCTAGTTGTCTTGCTATATCTACCACAACTTCAATTATAATAGTAACATCAAAGATCACTGATCATCACAACAGATACCTATCTGTTGTGATGATCTGATAAGAATGAGAGGAAAAAAGAGAACTATGAACTATTTCAAACTTTATTATTATTATTTTATCAGTATTAACAAAATGTGGCACAGAGAAATGAAGTGAGCACATACTGTTGGAAAAACGGCAATGATAGACTTACTCAATGCAGCATTGCCACAAACCTTCAATTTATTAAAAAAGTAAAAATATCTGTGAAACACAATCAAATGAGGCATGCCTGATTTTTCTTCATATTTCATTAGTTTTTATACGTTATTAATATTTGAACAATAGCAGTTTATATTGGATTATACCGTAAACTTTCATTGCCAAAAATACTACCTATCTGTGGTTGTAGTGTCACTAGATTCTGACATTGTTACAGATAAAATTTCAGTTCACAAAATCCTACAAAACAACCTAATAATGATAAGAAGAAAGATTTAAAGGGGTAAAATCAATTTTTTTTGCCATTTTTAAGAAAAAAAAATAGATGATTTTCCTGATTTGAGTGGTCCATGATTCCTAACATAAAATCTATGAGACTTCTGTTTCTAGTAACAAAGAAAAATATCCTATGCTAAGATTATATGAAATTCTGGAAAGATGGGAACCCCTTTTTCCCTCTCCTCTTGACTCCAATCCAGCTACTAACAACATCCCCCTAATGGAGCAGCCGTCATCTTCCTCTCCTCCACCTACACTCTCCTCGTAATATGTCCCAGCAGTCAGAGAGAGAATGAACAAACACACCACCTTGTGAGACAGAGCTACCAGAGGAAAAAAAATGACTACTGAACAAAAATTGAATGCGGATTAAGATTCAGTATGACAAAAGATTTTCTAAAAATAGACATGATTTTCAAATTAAAAATGCAGTAAATCTCAGGATTGGAAGAATTTGCTAAAAAAAATTTAATTCAGTAAATGAATTTAACACAAGGATTTTTTAAATCTCTTAGGTCACTAACTCAGGTCCCAAAAGGGCAAATAAGAGAAGAGATAAGGGGCTTCAAGGGCAGATCACAAAGGGTAGGTGGCTAGGGGTGGCAGGGGTCGGGGGATAGAATAAAATGTGATAATGTTTCAGATAATAGATAAAGTTTCCCTGAGCTAAAGAAAATCTTCAGTTCTCTTATTAAAATGGCTCACTAAATCCAGGAATGTTTGACACACACTTAAGCACATCATGGTAAAATTACTGATTTTTAAGAATGAAAAAAAAATTTACAATCTCCTCAATAGTTAGTAAATGTTACCTTGCAATACCTACATCAGAACAGTTACTTCAACTAACTGTACTTGAAATACAGTAAACAATACCCACATCAGAACAGTTACTTCAAGATAGTAGAGGAAAAAGAAAGGAACCAATGGTAAACCAAAAACATCCAAAAGAAAACAAAAAACCTTTATATAACTAAATTGAAAGATAATAGTGCCCCCACCCTCACCCGCAACACTCGACCCCAGGATTCCCCCAGCTTGCCTGCCTGCCATGGCCGACAAGGAAGCAGCCTTTGACGACACAGTGGAAGAACGAGTGATCAACGAGGAGTACAAAAAATGGAAAAAGAACACCCCTTTTCTTTATGATTTGGTGTTGACCCATGCTGTGGAGTGGCCCAGCCTAACTGCCCAGTGGCTTCCAGATGTAATCAGACCAGAAGGGAAAGATTTCAGCATTCATCAGCTTGTCCTGGGGACATACACATTGGATGAACAAAACCATCTCGTTATAACCAGTGTGCAACTCCCTAATGATGACACTCAGTTTGATGCGTCACACTACAACACTGAGAAAGGAGAATTTGGAGGTTTTTATTCAGTTAGAGGAAAAATTGAAATAGAAATCAAGATCAACCATGAAGGAGAAGTAAACAAGGTCCGTTATATGCCCCAGAACTCTTGTATCATCTCAACTAAGACTCCTTCCAGTGATGTTCTTGTCTTTGACTATACAAAACACCCTTCTAAACAAGATCCTTCTGGAGAGTGTGATCCAGACTTGTGTCTCCGTGGACATCAGAAGGAAGGCTATGGGCTTTCTTGGAACCCAAATCTCTGTGGGCACTTACTTAGTGCTCAGATGACCACACCAGCTGCCTGTGGGACATCAGTGCTGTTCCAAAGGAGGGAAAAGTGGTGGATGTGAAGACCATGTTTACAGGGCATACAGCAGTAGTAGATGTTTCCTGGCATCTGCTCCATGAGTCTCTGTTTGGGTCAGTTGCTGGTGATCAGAAACTTATGATTTGGGGTACTTGTTCACACAGTGCTTCCAAACCAAGCCATTCAGTTGACGCTCACACTGCTGAAGTGACGCTCACACTGCTGCCTCTCTTTCAATCCTTATAGTGAGTTCATTCTTGCCACAGGATCTGCTGACAAGACTGTTGCCTTGCGGGATCTGAGAAATCTGAAACTTAAGTTGCATTCCTTTGAATTACATAAGGATAAAATATTCCAGTTTCAGTGGTCACCTCACAATGAGACTATTTTGGCTTCCAGTGGTACCAATCACAGACTGAATGTCTGGGATTTAAGTAAAATTGGAGAGAAACAATCCCCAGAAGATAAAGAAGACGGGCCACCAGAGTTGTTGTTTATTCATGGTGGTCACACTGCCAAGATACCTGATTTCTCCTGGAATCCCAATGAACCTTGGGTGATTTGTTCTGTACCAGAAGACAATATCATGCAAGTGTGGCAAATGGCAGAGAACATTTACAACGATGAATACCCTGAAGGAAGCGTGGATCCAGAAGGACAAGAGTCCTAGATATGTCTTTACTTCTTGTGATTTTACACTCCCCTTTTTTCTTCTCAACCCTGAGAGTGATTCAACACTGGTTTCAAGACACAGACTTTGTTCAGCTATCCCTCTATATAATAGGTACCACCAATAATGCTATTAGCCCAAACAGTGGGTGTTTTTTAAATATTAATGGTGGGGGGGCTTGATTCAGCAAAGCCACAGACTTACATTGAAATTTTCTTCAGGAATTTTCTAGTAACAACCCAGGTCTAAAGTAGCTACAGAAAAGGGAATATTACGTGTGATTATTTTTCTTCTTATGCTATATCCCCAAGTTTTTCAGACTCATTTAAGTAAAGGCTAGAGTGAGTAAGGAATAGAACGAAATGAGGTAGGTGTCTGAGCCAAGAAGTATAAATACTGAAAGATGTCACTTTTATTCAGGAAATAGGGGAGATTCGAGTCATATAGATGCCTACTCGGAAATCTTGACACCTGACTTTCAGGATGCACATTTTCATACGTAGACCAGTTTCCTCTTGGTTTCTTCAGTTAAGTCACAACTACACGTTCCTCTTTCCCCATATATTTTTGCTCGTTACTGTATTTCTTGAGCTGTTTTCATGTTGTTTCTTTCCTTTCTGTGAAATGGTGTGTCTGTTTGTTTGTTTGTTTGTTTTTACTTGGGGGCGCCAAGTTGTAAAGATGTATGTTTTTACCTGACAGTTATACTACAGGTAGACTGTCAAGTTGAGAAGAGTAAATCAATAACTTGTATTTGTTTTAAAAATTAAATTAATCCTTGATTTAAAAAAAAGATAATAGTAAGTCATTGAAAGTGCTAAGTGATTTCATTAAAACTTAGGAGTTAGGTGTCATATGTTCAAGTATATCACTCTACAAAATACACAGTATGACATCAGGTTTACACCAGAGTCATGGACTTATCATAATACTGATATAATATGTGATCCTTCCTCTAGCATTGGGATCTGTACACTTTGAACCATTGACCTCTGGAGAACCTAAAGGTGTTGATTCAATGCCAGGATATGCGAAGATGGACAGTCAGTGAAAGAAAGACAAACCCCTGCTTCTCTACATTCTCTGAGACTTGCAGTAAGTACATCTCTTTCTTAATCTGAACTTGATATATCACTGTTAAACACATTTCATTATTATTGACCATTTGTAGTATATGTTGGCTCTCCTTTTTAAAGACAAGGTGGGGTGGGGGCAGTGGGAAGGAAGCAAATAAAAAAATTTTATACCAAATATTAGGTACAAAAGATAAGCATTCCACAGAAAACAGAAATATGCATCTTCTTTATGTCCTCAATTATTAAACATTTAAATGACTCTGCAAAAACAGAGACGATCAAAGATGAACTCATAACAGTCTCAGCTGAAAGGCTGTCTTGCTGAGAGGGAGGAAGAGCTGGATGAGACAAGGATTTTAAAGACAAAACCATAGTCACTGAATTTTAACTGAAGATCTTTAGAAGCACTGAGGTTCAGAATCAACGCTGCATAAAATCTAATTGGAAAAAAACCTTTAGAATTTTACGTACAATGCAGAGAGAATAATTAAAATATAAAAATGAAAGAATCAGGATGGTCTGGTGAAGGGGGTGCAGGCAAACACCCTTCCTCTCACTGGCTATGAAATGGCTGTACTCGACACACCATGGGGGTGACAGCTATGTGACCCTCAGGCACCCCCAAGCCCTGGATCCTGCAGCCACTGCCTCTATGGCCATGGGTCCACTGCATTCTCAAGTGAAAGCACCTGGAGGCCTTTGCTACAGCTGACATGGGCATGAGGTAGGAGAACAGGGTCTGGAGGCAGGGAAGCTAAGGCCATTTCACACTGACTTCCTAGAACTAAATTGAAAGGAAAACCCTAACTTTCCAAGCCTAAGTAACAAAAAGACCAGAGGCAGCACCTTTTGTAAACCCCCACCTTTTCTGCAGGGCAGATGGGAAATTGAAAGTTGCTTTTTGCAACCAATCAGAGGTTTGCATAGGAGTGTAACTTTGTAACTTTACTTCAGCCTCTGCTTTCCACAACCAATCGGACTGATTACCACCACTTCATTTACATGGGGTGAACACCAAGTAGCCAGTAGGAAACCTCTAGGGGGTATTCGGACTTGAGAAGATTCTGTATCTACGCCCTTGAGCCACTGCTGGGGTCTGCTCCCACCCTGCGGAGTACACTTTCCTTTTCAATAAATCCCTGCTTTGTTCTTTTGTTGCTTCATTCTTTCCTTGCTTTGTTTGTGTGTTTTGTTCAATTCTTTGTTCAAAAAGCCAAGAACCTGGACACGCTCCACCAGTAACAGGCAGTGCAGGTGGCTTCCCTCTGCCACACTCCTCCTGCGTGGGCTCTAGAGAAGCCACCCAGCCCCCATCCTCACCCTGTGCCCTGATGTTGACTGTTCTGTCACAAACCAGCAATATGCTTAATATAAAACTGAATCTGCCACATAATTGTAAACAAAAAGAAGGGCTGCGAGTCTGTTATTCTAAACTAAGGCTGTCATTTGTGATAGTTGTTCCTCAACATTTAACTGGCTTATATTTAATAATCTTGTTTTTTATAGCAGCTTAATCCATCCAGTTAACATGCACTTAGCAATCAGTTTATCTTGGATGGAACTATTCCAACGACAAATCCTTGTGTTATTCAGCAAGTTCTCTCCTTACACCTAGGTCTGAGGGGTCTCTGACAGGAGCCCTGTGCATGAGAGGACCCGTATTGCAAACTCATGAAAAATAATTTTATAAGAACACAGTGTGACCTGTAAATTAAGGCATATGCTTTTGTGACAGGCTCCAGGGGAATGCTTCTCTGTGACTCTTATTCATTCTCTTGGATTGAAAGACAGTTGAATCCCAATGCCATAAAGGTTTATGGATTATGCTATTGCCAGGATAGGAGCTACACAGGACTTTGGACAGCAGGGAGGATTTGTGTGGCAGAAGCATTTAGTATGAATTAATTAATTTGTCTAAGTCACCATCATTTCTTGCCTATTCTTCAATAATCTCATATATTCCCTTCCTCTTTAGCCTCTCTCCAAATCTTTTAAAGTGTAAATCCAATCCCATCACTTCCTTAATTAAAACTCTTCAGTGGCTTCAGGTTCTTAATACTCTTGGCCCATTCCACTTTGTCTTTGGTATGTCCACATCCCTGGGTACATAATGTTTTGGCAGATTGGCTTTCTCTTGGTTCCGGGAGAGAACCAAGCTCCTTCCTGCCTTAGAGCCTTACTCATATTAACATACTGTTTCTTCTTCCCTGAAATGCTTTCCAACCAACTCCTCCTCCTCCCACAACTAACTTCTTCCTATCTTCAGCTCCCTAGGGAGGGCAACTCTAACATCCTGGTCCAGATGAGGTTATTCTTTAACATACTTTAAGGTTCTCTTAAACAATCTAAGACCTTTTCCTTCATAGGACATATTACCATTCGAACTGTGTAACATTTTCTTTTTTTCTTTTTTTTTTTTTTTAACTTTGGACACAGAGTCTCACTCTGACACCCAGGCCGTAGTTCAGTGACATGATCTCAGCTCACTGCAACCTCCACCTCCCAGGTTCAAGCAATTCTTCCACCTCAGCCTCCCAAGTAGCTGGGACTACAGGCACCCACAACCACACCCGGTCAATTTTTGTATCTTTTGGTAGAGAGGGGATTTCACCATGTTGGCCAGGCTTGCCTTGATCTCCTGACCTCACGTAATCCGCCCACCTCGGCCTCCCAGAGTTACTGGGATTATAGGTGTAAGCCAACACAGCTGGCCTGAATTGTGTAACATTTTCTCCCAATAGTTATCACATATATTTTCCTACAAACTAAAAGCTCCATGACAGCAGGTGTGTCACCTTCAGGTGTGTCACCAGTCCTTAGATGAATGCCTGGCACAAATAATGCATTTGGTTTTTCTTGGATGAAACAAACAATTGTATTGCTTAATAATGCCACCCTAGATCCAGGCTGGAGGGCCTAGAGGAATGAATGAATGAATGAAGCATGGCACTAACAAATTGTGTGATTTCTGGCATGTCTGAGGCTCAGTTTCTTTATATTTTAATTCAAGATGATAATTCCTGTAAAATAGCTGCTTTAGAAAATTGTTATAAAGAGCATCTGAAATTACACACACATACACACACACACACACACACAGAGAGACATGTTACTAAACTGAACTGTGTCCATTTGCCTGTGTGCAATGGAAAGCCAAACACAAAAGCACTGGGTTTTGTAGCGAGAAAGGTTTATTACCAGGCAGCTGAGCAAGGAGACATGAGTCAGGCTCAAATC
Source organism: Homo sapiens (assembly GCF_000001405.40). Classification (NCBI taxonomy): domain Eukaryota; kingdom Metazoa; phylum Chordata; class Mammalia; order Primates; family Hominidae; genus Homo; species Homo sapiens. The sequence goes on along the minus strand of NC_000006.12, from coordinate 60,869,046 downwards.
TGTCTTTCCAAGATGGAGGCTGGGCAAATTTTATAGTCAGAGGGTAATGAAGTGTGATCTGATTGGATCTTGTGATGGGGTGGTGCCGGGAGGTGTGTATTGACTGGACTATGCCATGAGGTGATCACAGGGCTTGGTCTGATTGGACCTGGATCATGCCATGTGGTGTTTGCTTCTTCATTCAGTCACCATTCCTTGGTCTGAGCACTTAGGTTCTGCCCATGGTTGCATGCTTGGTTCATCTGGGTATGCTCGGGTTACATAACTTGCCACCTTGGGGTCCATGGCAACCGAGAAATAACTTGCCACTTTATTACACAAAGTTGAACCTGATTGGGTCATTGCAGTTACTGATAAATGTTTATGTCTGTGCTATCAAATATATAGGTATAACTATAGTTTGGAATTACCACACATATCACTAAGGTGAAGTATCAGTAAACTGGAATCAAGTAGGTTTAAAAAGAACCAGAATTATTACCAGGATTATTACCTCTCTTACGAAGCCCAGTGATGGGGCAAGTTGGCATACCCCAGGTACAGGCTGTCATGACTCTGGCTCTGCCTCTTTGTCATTTTCTCTGTTTCACCCTCCTCTGCGGACAGACCTTGTTCTTAGCCTCATAGCATGAAGGGTATAGCAGTTCCAGGCCTAGTATCCACACACAACAATGTCCAGAGAAAGAAGAGAACATCTATTTCTGTGAGTCTTGAAAAGAGGGAGAGGGAGACTCTCCCAGATGCCCCCAATCCAGCAGCAATCTCCTTTCCCGTCAGAGTTGCATCACATTACTGGCTTAAACCAACCCCAGGCAGAGGAACAGAACTGTCAAGTTTGGCTTCAAGGCTTTGCCTTGTAGTAGCCCCAACCTCCCCTGAATCACCTGGACCCATGGGAAAGGGTGGATAAGGAAGCAACATTGTAATTGTTTTTCAGAAGGAGGGTTGAGGGGATGGATGCTGGTTAGACAGACAACAGTGTGTGCTGTGCAGTATGTCATGTATATATATTAAAAAATATTTTTCTTATTCATGGAGGTTAGACGATCTAAGTCTAACATAGGTAGTGTTACAAAATAATAGATGAAATATTGTAGTGTCACATAGTGTTATAGAGTACAGAGTGTTAGGATTATTAGCAAATGATCTAACAAGACAGCCCATGCTGGTGTGCAAAAACAAAGAAAGTTTTTCTACTGTGTAGGTAAAACTCATAACTGATTGTAAGGCAGAGGGAAGTATCAAATAACAAAGGGCTGTCTAGGGAGTTACAACAATGAGGAGTGGCATGCATATTCTCTACTCCCTCCCATGTTAATTGCAGGCATAGCTAGTCAATCACAGTATGCCTCCTTGCTGAGGGTAGAAAGGTTTGGAGTCCTTTTCAGACAGCTCCTGACCATCAACTGGAATTGATCCTCTAAACAAAACCTATCCACAATCTATGACATAGTCATGTTGTTACTGAACTAATATTTTATTTAAAGAGCAAAACTCATATATATGAAGCAGCTTGAAAAAGTTTCAATGTAATCTCAAATTAAAATAAATAAAGATATGGACCAAAAGCATAGGAAATAGAAACATAAGTAGTAAATTTATACAATCATGGCTTTGGCATAAGGGACCTTTGATTCAGGTCCTGCAGGATACAGAGATGGTATGAATCAGTAGATGAGAAAACAGAGAAACAGAGGAGACATATCAGGGTATTAGCAAAGACAGGTAGGCAGTAGGATCATTGCTGTTAAAACATTAAGGGATGAAAATGTATGTGTACCCTCTTTTCATTAGAATGCCCTCTTCCTTCATCCCTTGGCAGTTTATCCTCATTCTGTTTGCCTTCAACCAAATCCCGATGTCAGCAAAAGATATGGCAAACTCATTCATACTAAATAGCACATGGTTGATAAAGCTCAGTGAGAAATCTTTCCTTGAGCTATTTTGAATACTTGTTAGAAGCAAAGCCTTCAGCAGAAGGAGTGAAATTAATAAGGTATAATTTTATAAACTAGTGAAGCAGGAGCAGGGTAAGGGCAGGAGACATTTTTGGCACACAAAGGCCTTTCCCAAGCCTATGAAATCATATTGGAAAAGTAAATACTGAACAGTGACAAAAAGAAAAATACTATGGGTGAAGGCAATTTATTCTGCCTACAACGCACAACATTTTTATTAAAATGGCTTTATGGAGATATAATTCACATATCATACAATTCAACCATTTAAAATGTACAATGGAATAATTTTCAGTAGATTCACAGAGTTCTGCAACCATCACTACTATCTTAAGTTTAGAAAACTTTCTTCACCTCCCCCAAAACCCTATACCCTGTTGCAGCCATTTCCTGTTACTCCTCACCCCAGTTTCCAGCAACTGGGTACCTGCTTTTCTCTATAGCTTTGCCTATTCTGACCATTTCATATAAATGCAATTACATAATATGTGGTCTTCTCTGACTGCCTCCTTTGACATAGTGTAATGTTTTCAAGGTTCAACTATGTTGTAGCATGTATCAGTACTTCATTCCTTTTTATTTCAGAATAATATTCCATTGTATGGATATTCTACATTTTGTTTATCCACTCATCAAATGATGGACATGTGGGCTGTTTCCACTTTTTGGGTAGTATGAATAATGCTGCTATGAACATTTGTGTACAAGTGTTTGTGTGGGCATGTTTTCATTTCTCTTGGGTATACACCTAGGAGTGAGACTGCTGGGCCCTATGACAACACTATGTTTAACCTTTTGGAGAACTGTGTGACTGTTTTCTAAAGTAGTTGTACCATTTTAAATTACCACCATCAGTATGGGAGAGTTCCAATCTCTCCATATCCACACCAAGACCTGTTTTTATCTGTCTTTTTTAATATAACCATCCTAATGGGTGTGAAGTGATATTTCATTGTAGTTTTGATTTGCATTTCTCTGATGTCTTGTCCAATACTTTTTACATTTTCTTCCTATCTAATACAAAATGTATTAGATATTATAAGTAATTTAGAATGATTTAAAAATATGTATACAGGAGAATGTGTATAGGTTATATGCAAATACAACGCCATTTTACATAAGGGACTTAAGCATCGCAGATTTTGGTATGGGGAGGTAGGGAAGTGGGTCCTGGAACCAATCTCTCTTGGATACCAAGGGACAACTGTATATTCATTTTACAAATGAGGACAGGAGTAATTTGGAAGTCAAATAATTTGTTCAAGGTCACACACAAGACTAAGTGGCAGAGCAGTGGTTAGAACCTAGCCTGCTTATCTCCTTAGTTTTTGCCCTTGTTCATGGTGCTTCTCTGCCTTTGCTATTGAAGAATAAACAATCAAAACCATGTGCCCTTTTATCATTGCCTGGCAGCCCCAGAACTGCTGAATGGTATGATTTAAACAGAAGAGGAGTGCCACTGTATATGAGCCACCTCTCCTTGCTCTGCAGCAGACAGTCCTTTGAAGTGGAGAGAACAGATATTCAGGGAATACAAAAAGGAAACTTCAGACTCTTTGAATTTCATATGAAAAGTTGTCAGTTAGTGTTATGGATTCACCTCCAAATGTAGCAGCTGGTAAAGGGTTTGTTTTAACTTTTTTTTTTCTCCTGATGCCTGAAAGTTTTGCTACACTATAGTCAAAGAATTGAGAGACTGCTTAAACACAACCAAATCCTTTTGATGTGTTACTTTAAGAATTATTCTAACGTTCTCTCCTAATGATAATAGTTATCCTCAAGGAGTGAAAAGAGGAAACCTGATGTGTGCCTTATTCCAGGCGGAAGAAACAAAGCACTTATCCTGAGTGTCAAGAAATACATAAAAGCAAAAATCCACGCTGACTTGTAGTTTAGAGTTTCTTGGAGCTACTACTATGCTAATAAGTCTTAGTGACTAATTGTAGCTAAAAAAAATATGTGATATGTACAGAGTTGAAAGAAATTAGGCCAGACATCTAAAAAATATATGAACCTACTGGCAAATGAGATTTTTAACAAAAACTGAGAACAGTTCCTACCACAAATGCTGATCTGTCTGGAAGTATGATTGGAAACTTGACAGTTACTACAAGGTGTTTTTTAAAGCTGATTTTTTTAAAGGACATTCTGCAAGGCCCGATCTAATCAGTATTCTTTGGATAATAGTAGATTTCTTGGTACTTTTTCCTCAGTGTCACAGACACCAGGGTAAAGTTATAGTGAGTGCTACATGGACAAGTAAAGCAGAGTATTTATTCATTACCAAGATAAAATAAGTAAACCTGGGGTGATGCTTCTCTAAGTTCGTTTTCTTATTTTAGTTTATTTCTTGTATGATTTTACAAAAGGGATATCTGACACTTGTGGATATTCTTGTGGATCTGTCAGGCGTCCATTCTCCTTTTTATATGCCATCTGGTTGGTGTTGAGCTTGACTTGCAGCCTGAGCCCATCTATAAAGCTTACCTCTTCCTGGGCATAGGCATTGATTTACAGATAGGCATTTGACCTAATTTGGACCAATGGAATCAAGGTCCAGGACTTTTGTTCAACTTGTTATAGGCAAGAAGCTCTTCATTTCTGCTTTCGTTGAGAAGTAAAGAATGTAAGTCTGAGGCTGCTGGTGGCCATTTTATTCTCTCTTCTGTCCCCATGATAGGAGTGGCTTCCTGGGATTGGAACCAACACAGAAGGAAGCAGAATCTGGATGAGGAGACATGGTCCTGCTGACATGGTTTGAGCTCTTAGATCAAGCTGTGCTCAGAATTATTGTTGCCCTTTTACTAAGTTCCATGAGCCAATAAATGCCCCTACTTCACTTAAAAAAAATCAATTTGGTTTGGATATTCTTTTCCTTGTAACCAAAAAAAAAATATATTTCATTGACATTATTTTCATAAGTTTATGTTTTGTTTAAAAGGTTATACTTGTTGCATTAGTCAAGGTTCAATCATAGAAACAGAACCACTAATGAGTTATGAGATAAGGGATTTATTTTTTTTTTTTTATTTTTTATTTTTTTATTATGCTTTAAGTTTTAGGGTACATGTGCACAACGTGCAGGTTTGTTACATATGTATACATGTGCCATGTTGGTGTGCTGCACCCATTAACTCGTCATTTAACATTTGGTATATCTCCTAATGCTATCCCTCCCCCCTCCCCCAACCCCACAACAGGCCCCGGTGTGTGATGTTCCCCTTCCTGTATTATGCATTTTAAAAGACTGTGGCCTCTGGCTTGAGTGCTCTCTCACTTGTGTGCATTGACCCTCAGAGTAGATTCTCCAACCCCAGTTAAGTCTTCAAATACTGCAGCCCCCAGCTGGCATCTTGACTGCAACCTCACAAGAGACCTCCGCTAGAATCACTCCGCTAGGCTACTCCCAACTCCTGACCCACAGAAACCATTTGTTATAATTTTTTTTTATATAATCCTATTATAAATCTTTTTTTTTTTAATTATACTTTAAGTTTTAGGGTACATGTGCACATTGTGCAGGTTAGTTACATATGTATACATGTGCCATGCTGGTGCGCTGCACCCACTAACTCGTCATCTAGCATTAGGTATATCTCCCAATGCTATCCCTACCCCCTCCCCCCTCCCCACCACAGTCCCCAGAGTGTGATATTCCCCTTCCTGTGTCCATGCGATCTCATTCTTCAATTCCCACCTATGAGTGAGAATATGCGGTGTTTGGTTTTTTGTTCTTGCGATAGTTTACTGAGAATGATGGTTTCCAATTTCATCCATGTCCCTACAAAGGACATGAACTCATCATTTTTTATGGCTGCATAGTATTCCATGGTGTATATGTGCCACATTTTCTTAATCCAGTCTATCATTGTTGGACATTTGGGTTGGTTCCAAGTCTTTGCTATTGTGAATAATGCCGCAATAAACATACGTGTGCATGTGTCTTTATAGCAGCATGATTTATAGTCATTTGGGTATATACCCAGTAATGGGATGGCTGGGTCAAATGGTATTTCTAGTTCTAGATCCCTGAGGAATCACCACACTGACTTCCACAAGGGTTGAACTAGTTTACAGTCCCACCAACAGTGTAAAAGTGTTCCTGTTTCTCCACATCCTCTCCAGCACCTGTTGTTTCCTGACTTTTTAATGATTGTCATTCTAACTGGTGTGAGATGATATCTCATAGTGGTTTTGATTTGCATTCCTCTGATGGTCAGTGATGATGAGCATTTTTTCATGTGTTTTTTGGCTGCATAAATGTCTTCTTTTGAGAAGTGTCTGTTCATGTCCTTCGCCCACTTTTTGATGGGGTTGTTTGTTTTTTTCTTGTAAATTTGTTTGAGTTCATTGTAGATTCTGGATATTAGCCCTTTGTCAGATGAGTAGGTTGCAAAAATTTTCTCCCATGTTGTAGGTTGCCTGTTCACTCTGATGGTAGTTTCTTTTGCTGTGCAGAAGCTCTTTAGTTTAATTAGATCCCATTTGTCAATTTTGGCTTTTGTTGCCATTGCTTTTGGTGTTTTGGACATGAAGTCCTTGCCCACGCCTGTGTCCTGAATGGTAATGCCTAGGTTTTCTTCTAGGGTTTTTATGGTTTTAGGTCTAACGTTTAAATCTTTAATCCATCTTGAATTGATTTTTGTATAAGGTGTAAGGAAGGGATCCAGATTCAGCTTTCTACATATGGCTAGCCAGTTTTCCCAGCACCATTTATTAAATAGGGAATCCTTTCCCCACTGCTTGTTTTTCTCAGGTTTGTCAAAGATCAGATAGTTGTAGGTAAGCGGCGTTATTTCTGAGGGCTCTGTTCTGTTCCATTGATCTATATCTCTGTTTTGATACCAGTACCATGCTGTTTTGGTTACTGTAGCCTTGTAGTATAGTTTGAAGTCAGGTAGTGTGATGCCTCCAGCTTTGTTCTTTTGGCTTAGGATTGACTTGGCGATGCGGGCTCTTTTTTGGTTCCATATGAACTTTAAAGTAGTTTTTTCCAATTCTGTGAAGAAAGTCATTGGTAGCTTGATGCGGATGGCATTGAATCTGTAAATTACCTTGGGCAGTATGGCCATTTTCACGATATTGATTCTTCCTACCCATGAGCATGGAATGTTCTTCCATTTGTTTGTATCCTCTTTTATTTCATTGAGCAGTGGTTTGTAGTTCTCCTTGAAGAGGTCCTTCACATCCCTTGTAAGTTGGATTCCTAGGTATTTTATTCTCTTTGAAGCAATTGTGAATGGGAGTTCATTCATGATTTGGCTCTCTGTTTGTCTGTTGTTGGTGTATAGCAATGCTTGTGATTTTTGTACATTGATTTTGTATCCTGAGACTTTGCTGAAGTTGCTTATCAGCTTAAGGAGATTTTGGGCTGAGACAATGGGGTTTTCTAGATAAACAATCATGTCGTCTGCAAACAGGGACAATTTGACTTCCTCTTTTCCTAATTGAATACCCTTTATTTCCTTCTCCTGCCTGATTGCCCTGGCCAGAACTTCCAACACTATGTTGAATAGGAGCGGTGAGAGAGGGCATCCCTGTCTTGTGCCAGTTTTCAAAGGGAATGCTTCCAGTTTTTGCCCATTCAGTATGATATTGGCTGTGGGTTTGTCATAGATAGCTCTTATTATTTTGACATACGTCCCATCAATACCTAATTTATTGAGAGTTTTTAGCATGAAGGGTTGTTGAATTTTGTCAAAGGCTTTTTCTGCATCTATTGAGATAATCATGTGGTTTTTGTCTTTGGCTCTGTTTATATGCTGGATTACATTTATTGATTTGCGTATATTGAACCAGCCTTGCATCCCAGGGATGAAGCCCACTTGATCATGGTGGATAAGCTTTTTGATGTGCTGCTGGATTCGTTTTGCCAGTATTTGAGATAAGGGATTTATTATAGGAATTAGAATTTCTACAGTTGTGGTAGGAGCTGGAAAAGAGAACGTCCAATAAGGAATTGAAGGGTGAGAGGCAAGATCAGCAACCAGTTAATATGAAAAGTTTGCAAAGGATTTCCAACTGCCAAAATGAGGCTGAAGGGAAAGTTCATGGAAAAGTCCATGGGGAGCTGTGACTCTGGGTAACTAAGGCCTCTGTGCATCCACATCCAAGAGACTGGGGGTGGACCTGGGACTGCTGTTGTTAAGAGGTGGATGCAGAGTACAGAACCAGGACCAACTGAAACCTGCTGCCAACTCCATGCCAGTCTATCTTTGCATCGAACTCACATTGACCTTCTGAGAGTCATGGTTGACATTCATTTCCACTTTCTAATTCTTGTGAAAATTCTAACTTACCAGTTCCAAACTGGAAACATTTTGGGAGTGTAGTTCTAACTTAGTCACCATATTTGCTCTTAATGATTTAATTTATGATTAATTTAGATGTAAGGTAATTGAAATATTGTGCAAAAGGCAGTCACAGTGAGGAAAAGTTGATACAAATAATTAATTTGACATTCCAATATAAATATCTACTGGCATTAATTATATAGCACATCACAATGGTTAAGAGCAGAGGTTTGGAGTCAGATGAAATTGTATCTAAGTCCTGGTTTTACCATTTTCTAGTTGGACAATTAAAACATTATTTTTCTTTTAAGCCTTAGTTACCTCATCTGTGAAAGGGAGATGTTAATAATGTCTACTACATGGAGTTGATGAAAGAATTAAGCAAATGTGTTGGACTTAACATAATGAGTGGCAAATTATAATCATGCGTGACTTATTATTTTACATTCATTCATGTACCTTTTATTACCTACATAAATAATTGTCAAATCTTATTGAGGAGATGAAGAAGGAGAGAGCTTTAGATAGTAGTCAGTTTGTAAGTGGATTCTTAAGCATAATCCCACTTTCCTACACCCCTAATTTTCTAGTGATTATTCCTGTTGATTTTGGATTTCATAAAAACATAGTATATGTGTTCCATCTCACCATAAACTTCATGGGTTTCATGTTTTCCTTTATTCATTTTTGTCTTGTGAACTACTAATTAATTTTTCTTCAAAGTATGGTAGCTTAATTTTTTAACCAATATCAACTACTTTTAGTGACTTTTTCCCCCCTACATATATACATGCATCTTGTAGACTTTCATCTCTACAATGTTTTTTATTTCCCTATTCTATAAAATACAATTGCCTTGGTCACAATCAATAAAGTGTTTTTATACAAGAACATGTCTGCCACATACCAAGGTGGTATTTTGGTTTTATCAGATTCTCTGCTAAGCTGCTATTTTTATATTTTTCCTTACTATAACTAGCTAAAAAGTTTGTTCAAGTCAGCTCCTAGTTAGATATACTAAACTATGCCTTCAACATTGCTACAGTGAAGGGAACATCTATTTAGTTCAGTTGGTTGATATTTCAAATTATTAAAGCGAAATTTAAAATAAGGGGCCTTGTTTCATATTGTAATGGGTTGACATTTTATTTATCAGAAACTTCCCCTATGTATTTTATTTTAAAACTCATTTTTTTTGATAATTAAATAGTGAAGTATAGAAAGAAAGTTTGGAAACTACAGAAAAATATAAAGAACAACAACAAAAATCACTTGTAATCTCACTACTCAGAGGAAACTGCCATTACTATATGGATGCTTTTGTTTCATTTCAGACTTTGTCTATGTTTTACAAAGGTTGATCATACTATTTGTATGTATACACACAGGCACACAAATACATGTACTCTTAGTTTGACATCCCGCTTCATATTATAGCATGTGACTGTTTCAAGTTAGCAAACATTCTTCATTCCTTATTTTTAACTTATTATGTCATTGTTGCATATAAATACATGTAAACCTCTTATCAGAATGTCTGGGACACAGTAAGCACTAAAATGGTAACTATTATTAATATCTATATACGCGAATCTTTGTACCTGGAATTAAAAACATTTTAACAGGTTTAAATTTAACTTTCTTTCAAAGAAAGGTGTTTGTTTTTCTTTTTACCAGGAGCAGATGAATATTCCTAGAGAGTTTATTTCTTTTTTATAAAGAACAAATGTTTTTTCTCCCTCCACATATGATTTAAAATATCTATGTTCTTCCGTATTAACACTAATATGGTCTGCCAGAGCTTGAATTTATGAGCTTCCCAAACAGTTGTGTGCCTACATATTCCTCCTTGTACTTCTTAGTTTTTATTTCATGTTTTGTCAAATGAAAGTGTATATCTCTGTTTTATGGATTCAACTTTTTAAGTGATAATTTTTGCCCACTTAATAATTGGTATCTTAAATGTGGCTTGGTCTAAAATTAATATTGTTACCCCTGGTGTTTACTGTTTTTATTTCGGCTTGAGTTTGATATCTTTTCTACAAGGCTTTTATTTTTAACCCATTGTAATCATTCTGTTATTGTTTCTTTTGTAAGCAGTGTATCATAACCTTATAATTTAATTGGGAAATCTATATTATTCACATTTATGATCTAAAGGATTTGATATGTTATTTTATAATTTACTTTTCCTTGCCATAATTACTGATTCCTTATTTCTGAATTTTTCTACGAATGTCCCAATTTTGCTTTGTTTGCCAATATTTAAGGCATAGTAGAGGTTCACATTTTTTGAAAAAATAACTTTCCAGCTACATTTAAAATCTTTATTTTAGTAAAAGCTAAATAGTATATTTTTAGTATTCTTTATGCCACTTTTATTTTTGACCCATAATAGCTCTAAATTCCTAAACTTCATTAGTTTTATCTTGAATTTTAGGCTATATGAGTAGTTAAATAAGTACTTTCTAGGCTATATATATTTTATGTATTATTTGTGAAATTTTTATTTTATGTTTACAGTAATGTTATATAGTCAAACATTATTTGATTTTAATGCTCACCACCAATCCTTTTACATAACAACCTTGTATAAAATGTTGAGTTTTTAATTTTAATCCTGTTCTTAGATGACTGATTTTGGAGGTTTAGGAGAGCCCAATCTTCATCCCTTTCCCCCGCCAAGTTCTAAAGAATTGATAACAGATATAGGGGTCAAGTAGGATCAATAACACCTGAACAAGTATATGGCTCTCTGGTTGTATTGGTCAGAGTTCAGTAGCAGAGAAACGAATCCATTTCTGCTAGTTAAAGAAGGAAAAATAATTGTGTGTGTGTGTGTGTGTGTGTGTACATGACATTAAATAGTTTATAAAATGGAATATACAAGAGCGACTCCCAAGCTACAGCCCAGGACCAGGTCACCTATGAAGCTTCCCCCACTGCTATAATCAGGAAACGTCCAGCTCCAGGGTCATTCTGTCACAGCCATGATTAGGAAGCTGCTTCTGCACCTGGCTGCACAATCATGTCCCACTTGTTAGAAAGTGTGCTGGCAAAATGGATGACCCATGGTCTGCCTTTTGACAGCTGTGAAGCTAGGGACTGGACTATTAATGCTGCCTCAGAAAAACTAAGGTCCTTCATGACTGTGCTGCCAGCAGAAATAGGAGCAGCAGCTGGAGAAAGTGCCTTGTGCAATACTGCAGCTTTTTCCAAATCTCCTACAAATGTATTTGATTGGTCTAACCTGAATCACACCTGGAACTTTAGTGCAAAGTAGCCTACGAATTGAATTGTTGGGTCTTCCATTCTCAGCTTTACAGGAATATTCTATAGAAAGAGGATGGAATAGATGTCCAGAGTCAAATCTCCTATCTACACAGTAGTAAAGCTGAGAAAGCCAAGGATGTACCCAGAAATTAATTTCTCCACTCAGTCATAAGCAGAAAAGATGTATTGCAGGCCTTTTTTCTCCAAGCCTGGAGGCTGTGAGCTGATGGTCTACCACTTGGGAACAGGGAAAAGAGGAGAGCATGCTCTGCCTGAGCAGGTAATTACAGCAGAGGCAGAGAAGGAGCAGCAGAGAGAATCGGTGGAGTCCATTTCTTCCTTCGAGGCACGACGACTATTCCCCAGTAGTGAGAACCAATGAAGGGTAGGTTCTTTCCACCGTTCTTCCCTTCTTAGAGAGGAAAGAAAGTTGGAAAACCCTCTCCCCAGCCTCCCTAGGAAGGCAGACTTTGGGCTGAAGCAGGAATATGGTTTTTATAGTTTGAGATAGAGATGTGAAAAGCAAAGGATAAGAGTTCCACTACATAACTGCACTTGACCTTTTAAGTAAAAATGGTGTAACAGTGGTATGTTTTCTGAACCCTCTGTCATTGAGACTGTCTTTTTGTTATCTTCACATGTGAATGACAACTTGGCAGAGCTACATCCTTGTATTATTTGCCTTTTCTCCCTAAAAATTCATTGTGTGCTTACTACATATTGCAAAGAAAAAAATTTCAGGCCAGCCTAATATTGTTCCTTGATGGAGAGGCCAGTTTCTTTGCTTTTTCTGCCTAGAGCCTTATGGACTTTATTTTAGCCTGTTAATTGGGCACTTTCATAGAATATGTAGATTTTGCTCTGTTGATGGATATTTACTTGGAAAATAGTTGAGCTGGCCTTTTAAACTAAGTTATAATGTCTTTAACTAGCTTTGACAAGTTTTATTCAATTCTGTCACTCACCATGGCCTCTGTTATGTGTTTCTAGTTACATCTTTGGGAATAACTGTAATTCTTAACATAGTTTCTTCATTCTCTGGGTTCCACATCTGTCAAATTTTCATTATTTTTTAAATCACTTATCATTTTTGGTTGAGTTTCAGATCATCTTCCTTTAATAAAGTTTGTGGTCAAATCTACAGTTTTCTATATTTCCAGTTCACTTTCCATTTGATGCCAGGTGAACCCTCTTCTGAAACAACAGCATGGATATTCCTGCCCTGGTTTAGTTCCCAGTGACACTGAATATGTATATCTCATGAAGATGGTTTCTTCCCTTTCCATATCAGACTTAATTTGACAAGACCATACACCATGTGTCACTAGAGATATTTTGGCTTCCACTTCCACTGACAGTCTTTCTGCCTGGGGATGGTGCCAGCAAGTGTACAACACCCATCTCTGGGGCCTTCATTTGCAGCCCAATTTTTTGTTGGAAATTTTGTTTCCCCAACATGCAAAGACAATTACTCACTGGGGCTACCTCAATAAGCGCTGCTTTGAGGCAGAAGAACAACAGTTACCCAGTTTTCAGGTAAATAAAGATTTTGTTTATGAACTAGAAAGTAATATCCGGAGGACTAATGGCTTTTTGGCCTAATTTTAGGCAGATAAATTTTCCATTTCTTATGGCTAAACCAATTAGAAGAAAAAACCTGTGTTTCTCAACCCAGATCCATTGGCCTAATAACTAATGAAAATTCTTCCATAAAGTTGATGCTAGTTTTCAGTGCTATTGTGTATTGTCTTTGTTTTTGCTTTCAAAGATATTTTAGTGGGAATTTGGGGATTACTCCATTTCAGGGACTTCTAGCCAGGCTCTGTTTTTAACTGAAAGCTGGTGGTACTGTGATAGAAGCTTTAAACGTGTGTGATAAGGCCGGGCGCGGTGGCTCACGCCTGTAATCCCAGCACTTTGGGAGGCCGAGGCGGGCGGATCACGAGGTCAGGAGATCGAGACCATCCCGGCTAAAACGGTGAAACCCCGTCTCTACTAAAAATACAAAAAATTAGCCGGGCGTAGTGGCGGGCGCCTATAGTCCCAGCTACTTGGGAGGCTGAGGCAGGAGAATGGCGTGAACCCGGGAGGCGGAGCTTGCAGTGAGCCCCGCCACTGCACTCCAGCCTGGGCGACAGAGCGAGACTCCGTCTCAAAAAAAAAAAAAAAAAAAAACGTGTGTGATAATAGCTTGACGCAGTTGCACAGTTTAGTTCATACACAATTTTTGTTGAGATGAAAGGAGTTAGTTTCTAACAAAATAAAAGTCCATAATTTGGACTAGAGGTTTCTAAAATTGGAATTAATCTTATTTCTCTCCTGATATTATATTTCAGAACTGTATTTTCATAGTTAATCTGCTAAAGTCTGAAAAAAATATTTTTATAAATTCATAATATCAAAATTCCAACTATGAAAATTTTAGCACCTAATATAATAAGTTAATGCTAGAACTGGGTAGGAGAGTGAGTCGCTTGCTTAAATTAAGACTTGTATTCAACTTGCACAAGACACCTGCATTAATATGGTACAATGTGGTTATTTAAATTAAAAAAATAACTAATCGAAAATAAAATAAAAAATTTATTTTATTTGCTACATTAGCCACATTTGAAATGTTCAGTAGTCACATGTGGTTTGTGACTACCATACTGAACCGCACACATAAAGATCATTTCTGTCATGGCAGAAAGTTTTATCAGACAGTGCTGTTCTAGACAATGATGTCTTTAAATTTGCATTTGCGGAAAAACCAAATCCTCTTGGAATTAATGCATTGCATTTTGAGAGAACTACTTGAAACTAAGGTTATGGACTCTATGGCTTTAGCTGAATATCAGTTTTCAATAACCTTTTAATTTTAGAATAAATAAAATAATATTTATTACTTTTAAATTTACAGCAAAATGGAAAAGGTAGTAAAGACTTCTCATGTAACCTGCATCTAAAATTCCTAGTCAAGGCAATAAGCCAGAGAATCAGTCTCTACCCAATCATACCATTCATATTTAAACTGATATATTGATATAGTTGGATTAATACCTATCATACTTATGTTTGTTTTCTGATTGTTGCATTTGTTCTTTGTTTTCTCTCCCTGTCCTCCGTCTTTTTCTGGTTTTAATAGAACATTTTGTATGATTCCATCTTACTCCTTTCTCAGCATATCAATGACTTCTTTTAAAAACATCTTAGTGGTTGACGTATAGTTTACAATACACATTATTAACTATTCTAAGTCCATCTTTGAATAACTCTCACTATACCCTGTCATATATGGGTAGAGTTACCTTATAACAGAATATCCTGAATTCATTCTGTCTCTTGTGACATTGCTGTGATTCATTTTGCTTATCTATATGTTATAACCATCCAATGTACTGTTATGATTATTGCTTTAAAGAAACAGATGTTTTAGATCAACTAAAAATAAGAAAAATAAAAGATTTTATCTTACTTTCATTCATTCCTTCCTCAGAGCATTTTCTTTCTTGATGTAGACCCTGACTTATATCATTTTCCTCCATCTGAATAACTTAACATTTCTTGAAGGGCAAGTCTGCTGGTGATGAATTCCCTCAGTTTTTGTTTGTCTGAAGGACTCTTTCTTTTTTTCTTTTTCTTTTTTTTTTTCTTTTGACACAGAGTCTTGCTCTGTCCACCAGGCTAGAGTGTAATGGCACAATCTTGGCTCACTGCAACCTCCACCTCCTGCCAATTATTTTGGCACCATTTATTGAATAGGGAGTTTTTTCCCTATTGCTTGTTTTTGTTGGCCTTGTCAAAGTCAGATGATTGTAGGTGTGCTGCTTTATTTCTCGGTTTTCTATTCTGTTCCATTGATCTATGTGTCTAATTTTGTACCATTACCATGTGGTTTTGTCTACTGTAGCTTCATAGTATAATTTGAAGTTGAGTAATGTGATGCCTCTGGCTTTGTTCTTTTTGCTTAGGATTGCTTTGGCTATTTGGGCTCATTTTTGGTTCTATATGAATTTTAAAATGATTTTACCTAATTTTGTGAAGAATGATATTGGTGGTTTGATAGGAATAGCACTGATCTGTAAATTGCTTTGAGCAGTATGGACATTTGTACAATATTGATTCTTCTCATCCATGAGCATGGATTGTTTTTCCATTTGTTTGCTTCATCTCTGATTTCTTTCAGCAGTGTTTTGTAGTTCTCATTGCAGAGATTTTGTATTCCTAGATATTTCATTTTCTTTGTGGCTCAGCTCACTGCAAGCTCCGCCTCCCGGATTCACACCATTCTCCTGCCTCAGCCTCCCAAGTAGCTGGGACTACAGGCGCCCACAACGCCCGGCTAATTTTTTTTTTTTTTTTTTTTGTATTTTTAATAGAGACAGGGTTTCCCCGTGTTAGCCAGGATGGTCTCCATCTCCTCATCTCATGATCTGCCCACCTCGGCCTCCCAAAGTTCTGGGATTACAGGCGTGAGCCACCGTGCCCAGCCCCTCCTTGTGGCTTCTTAAAGTGAGTTTGTTTTCTTAAGTTCACTCTTAGCCTGGACATTGTTAATGTATGGAAATGCTACTGATCTTTATACATTGATTTTGTATCCTGAAACTTTACTAAAGTCATTTATCAGTTCTAGCAGCCTTTTGGCAGAGTCTTTTGGGTTTTACTAGGTATAGAATCATATTGTCAGTGAAGAGAGATAGTTTGACTTCTTTTCCTGTTTGGATGCCTTTTCTTTCTTTTTCTTGCGATTGCTTTGGCTAGGACTTTCAGTGCTATATTGAATAGGAGCAGTGAGGACATCTTTGTCTTGTTTCAGTTCTTAAGGGGAATAGTTCCAGCTTTTGTGCATTCCGCAGGATATTAGCTAAAGTTTGTCATAGATGGCTCTTTTTATTTTGAAGTATGTTTCTTCAATGCCTAGGAACATACATCTTGAGGGTTTTTAACATAAAGCAATGTTGAATTTTATTAAAAGCTTTTTCACATCTATTGAGATGATCCTATGGCTTTTGCTTTTAATTCTGTTTATGTGGTCAATCACACTTATTGATTTCTGTATGTTGAACCAGGCTTGCATCTCAAGAATGAAGCCTACTTGATTGTGATGTATTAACTTTTGGATGTGCTGCTGGATTTGGTTTGCTAATATCTTAAGGATTATTGCATCTATGTTCATCAAGGATATTGGCCTGAGGTCTTCTTTTTTATTGTGTCTCTGCCACATTTTGGTATCAGGCTGATGTGGCTTCATAGAATGAGTTAGGGAGAAGCCCCTTCTCTTCAATTTGTTTGGAATAGTTTCAGTAGGATTGGTGTCAGTTCTTTGTGTGTCTGGTAGATTCCAGCAGTGAGTCCATCTGGTCCAAGGCTTTTTTCGTTCAGTAGGATCTTTTTTACTAATTTAATTTCAGAAATTGATATGGTCTGTTCAAGGTTTTGATTTATTCATGATTCAATCTTGGGAGATTATGTGCTTCCATGAAGTTACCTATTTCCTCTAGATTTTCTAATTTTTGTGCATAGAGTTGTTTGTAGTAGTCTCTGAGGGTTATTTTTAAAAATTTCTGTGGGATCAGTTGTAATATCACCTTTGTCATTTCTGATTGTGCTTACTTGGATCTTCTCTTTCTTTTCCTTTGTTAATTTAGTTAGTAGTTTACCTTATTTATTTACTTGAAGAGCAAAGTCTTGGTTTTATTGATCTTTTGTAAGGATTTTTGCATTTCAGTTTTCATTAAGTTTTTCTCTAATGTTAGTTATTTATTTACTCCTGCTGGCTTTGGGTTGGATTGTTCTTTTTGTTTTTAGTTATTTTAGGTGCAAAGTTTGATTGTTAATAAGAGATATTTCTAACTTCTTGATGAAGGCATTTAGCACAATAAACTTTCCTCTTAATACTGCTTTGACTGTATCCCAGAGATTTTGTAAGTTGTATCCCCATTTTCATAGATTTCAAATAATTTTTTGATTCCTGCCTTAATTTTGATGTTTATCCAGGAGTTATTCAGGAGTAAGTTATTTACTTTACATGTGCTTATGTAGTCTTGAGAGATCTTCTTAATATTGATTTTATTTGTATTGCACTGTGGTGTGAGAATGTGCTTGGTATGATTTCAATTTTTTTCAATGTATTGAGACTTGCTGTATGACTGAGCATGTGGTTGATCTTAGAATATGTTGCATGTACAGATGAGAAGAATGTATATTCTGTGGTTGTTTGATGGAATGTTCTGTAGATGTCTATTAGGTCTAATTAGACAAGTGTCGAGTTTAAGTCCAGAGTTTGTTAGTTTTCTGCCTCTGATCCATCTAATGTTGTCAGTGGGGTGTAGAAATCTCTCACTATTATTGTGTGGTTGTCTAAGTCCTTTTGTAGATCAAGAAGAACTTGTTTCATGAGCCTGCTGCTCTAATGTTGGGAACCTATATATTAGAATAGTTGAAGCTTCTTGTTGGATTGTACCCGTTATCATTATGTAATGCCCTTCATTGTCTTTCTTAATTTTTATTGGTTTAAATTCTGTCTTATCTGATATAAGGATAGTACTTCCTATTCTTTTTTGTTTTCTGTTTACATGGTAGATTTTTTCTATCCTTTTACTTTGAGCATGTGTGTTTTGCTATATGAAATGAGTCTCTTAAAGACAACAGATGGTTGGCTCTTTTCTTTTTATCCAGCTTGCTACTCTGTCTTTTAAGTGGGGCATTTAGCTCATTTATATTCAAGGTTAGTAATGATATGTATGATTTTGATCCTGTAATTTTGTTGTTAGCTGGTTGTTATGTAGACTTGTGCAGTTGATTTATAGTGCCTGTGGGCTATGTGCTTAAGTGTGTTTTTGTGGTAGCAGGTGTCATTTTTTCAATTGCCTGTTTAGCACTCCTTTAAGGACCTCTTGTAAGGGTGGTCTAGTTGAAATGTATTGTCTCAGCATTTGTTTGTCCGAGAAGGATTTTATTTATCCTTCACTTATAAAGCTTCAGTTGGGATGATATCAAATTCTTGGTTGGAATTTATTTTCTTTCAGGATGCTGAAAATAGGCCCCCAATCTCTTCTGGCTTATATGGTTTCAGCTGAGAAGTTTGCTGCTAGCCTGATGGGGTTCCCTCTATAAATAACTTTGCCCCTTCTCTGTAGCTGCCATTAAGATTTTGACTTTTGCATTGACCTTGGTGAATCTGATGACTATGTGCCTTGGGGATGGTCATCTTTTATTGTATTTTCCAGGGGTTTCTGTATTTCCTAGATTTGCATGCCAGCCTTTCTAGCAAGATTAGGAAAATTTTTATGAACTACATCTTCAAATATATTTTCCAAGTTGCTTATTCCCTTTCTTTCTCTCTCAGAAATGCCAGTGTGATATAGATTTGGTCTCTTTACATAATCCCATATTGCTGGATCTTTTATTTTTAAAAATTCTTTTTTCTTTATTTTTGTGTGACTGAGTTGATTTGAAGAACTGGTATTTGAGCTCTGAGATTCTTTCCTCAGGTAGGTTTATTCTGCTATTAATACTTCTTTTTTTTCTGGAGACAGGGTAGACAGGGTCTTGCTCTGTCACCCAGGCTGGAGTGTAGTGGTGTGATCTTGGCTTACTGCAGCCTTCACCCCCTGGGCTCAAGCAATCCTCCCACCTCAGCCTCCTGAGTAGTTGGGACCACAGATATGTACCACCATGCCCAGCTATTTTTTTGTATTTATAGTAGAGACAGGGTCTTGCCATGTTTCCCAGACTGATCTTGAACTCCTGACTTCAAGTGATCCACCTGCCTCGGCCTCCCAAAGTACTGAGATTACAGGCATGAGCCACTCACTGCACTGGCCTGCTGTTAATATTAATACTTCTGATCATATTATGAAATTCTTGTGGTGAATTTTTCAGCTTAAAAAGTTTAATTTGGGTCTTTCTTAAAATGGCTATTTCATCTTTCAGCTCTTGAATTGCTTGGCTTCCTTGGAATGACTTTCAACATTGTCCTAGTTCTTGATGAGCTTCCTTGCCATTCGTATTCTGAATTTCATGTCTGTCGTTTCAGACATTTCAGACTAGTTAAGAACCATTGGTGGGGACCTAGTGGGCTCATTTGGAGGTAAGGGGACACTCTGGCTTTTTGAAATGCCAGAGTTCTTCCACTGATTCCTTCTCATCTGGGAGGGTTGGTGTCCTTTAACTGTGTTTTAAATTGAGTATAGTCCATTGGCTTCATTTGTGGAAGTTTTCAGAGGGCTAAGCCTCTGTACTGGATCTTTGTTGTTGAATTCTTGCCCTTGATTTTGCAGGAAGCAGAATTAGCCAAGAATTTCTTGATGTTGTAGTTTTGGCTGTGATCCAATAGAAGACAGTTGAGAACAATGGGCTGTAGATAAGCACTTACTCAGCTTCATGGCTTCTATGTGTATCCTTTCATTTGCAGCTGTGCTCTCTTCCCCAGAAGAAGTTTGGGGCTGGGAACCAGCTTTATCATTCAGCACCTTATGCAGGGTTCCCAGCTTCCTCCCTCTTCAACCTCAACATCTGCATCTTTTCCCCATCCACATTCAGCATTTTGTCTCCAAAGACCTGTTCAAATTATGTTGGTTTAAATCCCAGTGTCTCTCCATGGGGGCAGCACTTCCTGGCTGCAACTCTTGCCTGTTTTTGCCTGATTACAGTCTTTGAAAAGGAAAAACAGAATTAGTAAAAGATGGGATGATGGATTAGGCATCACTGTATAGGTGCCTTTACAGAGGGTATTGAGTGGTTACCACTGATCTACACTAGTCCAGTTCTTACGATTTGTTATACTATGTATGGAGTTTTCAGCCTTCTTCAAAGAATAGTCTTTTGGGTCAGCAGGACCATCAGGGACAGAGAGCTTAAAGATACTAACAGAGATTCTGTGGCACTAATTCATGGTAGGGTTGGATGGTCAGTCTTCTTTTTTTTTAGTGTACATGATTTACTTTCAGTTTATTTTAGAAATAAAATATTAGGTATACTTAGGAGGCAATATTAGTGAGTTTAGGTTTAGCAAAGATTTCTTAAATTTGACAGAAAAAGCACAAGCTATAGAAGAAAAATAAATCAATTGGACTTTATCGAAGTTAAAACATTTGCTTTTTAAAAGATCGTTAAAAAATGAAAGGGCAAACTACAGAGTTGGAGAAAATATTCACAAAACACAAATTTGACAATATTATATATATATATATCCTTTGTGTGACATATGTGATATATTTGTATAATGGCATACTACTCTTACAACTTAATAAGAAAATTCAACTCAAAATTGGACAAAAAATGTGAACAGATACTTCTCTAAAGAAAATATATTGATGACAAATGAGCACATGTAAGGATATTCTTTATCATTATCATGAGAAAATACAAATTAAACCACAGGGAGATATTACAGCATTCCCATTAGAATGATTAAAATGAAAAAGACTGACCATACCAAGTATTGCCAAGAATGTAGGGGACCTGGCGTTCTCATACATTGCCACTGTATTGTAAAATGGCAGTAATGTTGTAATGGCTAATTTTATGTGTCACCTTGACTGGGCTGAGGATGCCCAGATTGCTGGTAAAACATTATTTCTGGGTGTGTCTGTATGAGGTTCTCCAGAAGATATTAACATTTGAATAAATAGACTGGGTAAAAAAGATCTTCCCTCACTAAAGTGGGCAGACATCATCCAATCTGTTGTGGGCTCAAATAGGAATAAAAGGCAGAAGCATGAGCAAGAATATCCATCTTCTCCTTCTCTTGGACATCAAAGCTTCCTGGTTCTCAGTCCTTTGGATTATGGGTCTTATATCAGCAGGACTCCTCTGCCCTCCTGCCAGTGGTTCTCAGGCCTTTGGCTTCAGACTGGGACTTATATCATTGGCTCCCGTGGTTCTCAGGCCTTTGGACTTGGACTGAATTACACCACTGGCTTTCCTGGTTCTCCAGCCTGCAGAAGGCAGATGGTGGGACTTTTTGACTCCCATAATCATATGAGTGAATTTCCATAATCTTTCTTTCTCACTCTTTCTCACTCTTACTTTGAAGAACTCTAATACAAATGAAACAGTTCCCTAAATAGTTAATAATGAAATTATTAATAATGACCCAGCCATTTCACTTCTCAATATTTATCCAAGAGACATGAAAATATTATCTCAATTCAAACACTATACAGGACTATTTGTAGCAGCTTTATTTGTAATAGTCAAAACTAGAAACAATCCAAATATTCATCAACAGGTAAATGTGTATATAACATGTGATATATCCATATAATAGAATACTGCTCAGCAGTAAAAAGGAATAAACTATTGATATATGCAACAACATGGATGGACCTCATAGTACATATTCTATAACTATTTGCATAAAATTCTAGAAAATGCCAGTGAATCTAAAATTACAGAAAGTAGATAATCAGTGCTTGCCAGCAGATGAGGTAAGGAGAGGAGGTGTGGCAGGGAGGAGTTATAAAAAGACAAGAAGAAACTCTAGGGAGTGATGGATTGTCTTAATGTGTGGTGACAGTTTCAAAGATGTATACTTTTGTCAAAATTTATCAAATTGCATACCTTAAATATATGCATTTTATTGTATATAAGTTATAATGCCAATAAAGTTCTAAAGAGAGAAAAATAAATAAATGCAGTTACAAGGAAAGAAATAAAATAGCTGTAAATCTGACATATCAGTTATTCATCATCACTAGTCATTAGGTAAGTGCAAATTGAAACCACAGTGAGATAACACTTCATACCCATAGAATGAAGGATGGCTATTATTAAAAAATGAAATATAAGAAATATCAGTGAGGATGTGGAGAAATTGCTGGTGGAATGTAAAATGGTACAGCTGCTATGGAAAACAGTATGGTGGTTCCTCAACAAATTAAGCATAGATTACCATATGATCTACTAATTCCACTTCTGGATATATACACTAAAGAACTGAAAGCAGGGACTTGAACAAATATTTGTGCACCACTATTTATAGTAACATTATGCACAATAGCCAGAAGGTATAAACAAACCAAATGTCCATTGAAGGATGAATGGATAAACCAAATGTTGTCTATACATAAAATGGAATATTATTCAACTTTAAAAAGGAATGGAATTTTGATGCCTGCTGTGGCATGGATGAAACTTGAGAACATTATACTAAGTAAATGAGACAGGCACAGAAGACAAATACTGTATGATTGTACTTCTGTGAGGTGCCTAAAATAGTCAAATTTATAGAGAAATAAAGTAGTTTAGGAGAAGAAAAACTTTCCCTCTATCCTGTTAGGTTCTCTATCTGGGGCACACTCATCAAATTGAAAAAAGATTAACAGTAGAAAAGGCATGCAAATTTTAATATTTTTACATGTACAGGAACTTCACAGAAAGGAAGTGAAAACCCAAAGAAGTGGTTAAACTCCAGCCTGGGTGACAGAGTGAGACTCCGTCTCAAAAAAAAAAAAAAAAAAAAAGAAGTGGTTAGACTCAAGGGTTTATGTACCATTTTAACAAAGGGCGATAGGTTGTGGAGAAGTAACTAGAAAATGAAAAGAACATTGGGTTTCTAACGATGATAAATTGTTGGAAGGTACTAGGAAATGTATGGTAGATACAGAATGTTTAGTAAGGTTTGTTATGCAGTCTCATCTCAGTGCTGTTTGTGGTCTTCCTGGTACAGGACACGGGAACACCTTTACAAATAGGAACTTATCTCACCTTTACAAAGAGAAATGTATGCCTTGCTTTTAGGCAGAAAGGGAAGGGCAGAAAGTGAATTATTGTGTAATAAGTGCAGAGTTCCTTTGGGGGAAGATGAAAAATTTGTGGAGATGCATAATGGTGATAGTTGCACAACTATGTGAATGTACTTAATACCACTCAACTGTATATCTAAAAATGGTTAATATGATTTAAAATACTTTTTTTGAGACAGAGTCTCCCTGTGTAATCCAGGCTGGTAGGATCTCTGCTCATGGAAACCTCTTCCCCATGGGTTCAAGTGATTCTCCTGCCTCAGGCTTCTGAGTAGCTGGGATTACAGGCACCTGCCACCACGCCCAAATAATTTTTGTATTTTTAGTAGAGACAGGGTTTTGCCATATTGGCCAGGCTGGTCTTGAACTCCTAATCTCAAGTCATCTGCCCGCCTCAGCCTCCCAAAGTGCTGGGATTACAGGCGTGAGCCACCGTGTCCGGCCTAAAATGATTTTATATTACGTATATTTTACCACAATAAAAATATTGAAAACATATTCTGATATGTCAAACAGGATCCCTAAGGAGCAAATAAATTTTCGTATCTAAACTAAAGGATTTTTGTAATAAGAAATAAAAAGGTACCCTGGGAAAACAAGCTGTGTTCCTCTGAGGAAGGAATTTTCTGAAAGGCTGTGATATAGGCTGACCATAGTCGGAGAGGTAGGCACAGAACACTTTAGATATCATCTCAATCTAGAGGCATGTGAATTATATGTTAAAGAATGGAAAGGGAGATTCCTGTTTAAAAGGAGGCTTTGGGCCAGGCACGGTGGCTCACGCCTGTAATCCCAACACTTTGGGAGGCCGAGGTGGGCGGATCACCTGAGGTCAGGAGTTCAAGACCAGACTGGCGAACATGGTGAAACCCCATCTCTACTGAAAAATACAAAAATTAGCTGGGTGTGGTGGCGTGCACCTGTAATCCCAGCTATTCGGGAGGCTGAGGCAGGAGAATTGCTGGAACTCAGGAGGCGGAGGTTGCAGTGAGCCAAGATAGCACCATTGCATTCCAGCCCAGGCTAACAACAGTGGAAGGAAGGAAGGAAGGAAGGGAGGGAGGGAGGGAGGGAGGGTGGCAGGCAGGCAGGCAGACAGGCTTTCCTAGCTGTTTGCCCTTCCATCTTAGGGCACATCTTAAAGTAGCAGCTCCTACTGTTCTGGCTGATCCATAGCTGAGTTCCTAATCCCTTGACCTGCAAATGGCTCCATTCTCCTGTTCTTCTGGAGCCTTGGTTTCTATATTTTTCATGCTACCATGACAATATCTGCTTTCCTACAACTTTATAGTGCCATTTGAAGATGGGCTAAAATTAAATAAGCCTACAAATTTCCTTTAGTTCCTGGGACTAAACAGTGTTATTTCTGCTCAGCCCATGTGAGTGCAGCATCAGTCTTCAGAGTCCTGCTGCTTTTTGCTACACAGTGTGTCGAGGGAACAATGACAAATGACCCAGATTATATTTATTTATCAGGAGTTAGGGCTAAAGGCTTTCTCATTTAGAGTTATCCCATCTCTATAATCTTTTAAAAAAGAAGCACCCTAAAAGCAACTTACATATGGAAGGAAATATAGTAAAGTCACCATAGCTAAGACTTTCTTGATTTCCTTGTTTATACTTTGCTTCTACTTCTTGCATCATTTCATGAATATGAAAGAAACAGACCAGTTTTCTGGAACATTCTGCCAGTTTTTGTTGAAGGCTAAAATGTATTATTGTATTTGTGATTAATATAAGAAAGGTAATGTGTTTTCTTCTTTCTAGGTTACTTTTTCTTATGTTTTTAACAGAGACTAACTTTAGATTACCTATAATTCAAGAAATATCTATTCTCAACATCCCACATCACTGTATGTTCTTTGCTAGGTTATTGGGCTCCTGCTGTGCAATTTAGATCCTTCTTTGTCATTATTTTCTCAAGGGTTTTCAAATTTCCCTCTTTGAGGATTATAGCAATGCACACTTACCCCTGCAGCCCGCTGGGTGGCAGGCAGCTTTGCTACCTCATGTGGCTAGGTGATTTCACAGAGGTGGCAATGATAATTCACAGAGAAGTAAACAGGAAGCACCTTAAATTCAAGGTTCTGGAATGTCGCTCCTGCTGCTGGTCTTCTGGAAATGTTGTGCATTTTTTCTTTTTAAAACTTAGGGTTTCTGTAGAAATAATCTGTTCCATCCTATATTAAATGAGAATTAGAAAGATATACTCAGTCAAATCAGTGATTTGCTGGAGTGGAGTCAATGGCCTGAAACTCCCTTGCTGGAAAGATGGCTCTGGAGTATGTGAGCTGGATTCAGGAGGCAGCTAACAGCCAGGGACAGCAGTATCATGGCAGCTGAGTTGAACAGCATGGGAATAGCTCGAAAGAATAAGCAATGGCAGCACAGAAAAGCAGCTGCCAGGAAGCAAAATTCAGAGAGCATGTGAGTCACAGGAGAGAGGTGTCACAGATTAGAATAGAGAGTTTATAGGAGAAAAGGAAAGTGTGTCAGAAGGAATTATGGTTGGGAAAGCAAAGACCTTGTATTGTAAAAATAAAAAAAATTATATATCTCTGAAGGTGCTTGTAAACCATTTATGATAATAGGAAAAAGGAACAGAAAAAGAAAAAACAGGGTTATTTGATAAAGAGAAGGGGATTGAACCAACGACTTTGTCAAATCTAATTATGAATGTATCCTTCCTTTAAGAAGGGCTTGGTAGATCAAAGGTAAATTCAAATTATATATTTATTTGCTACTACTGTGAAGTTTCTTGAGCCATTTAATAATCTCATTCAGTCACCCATGAAACTCTTATTCTCCTGCAAATGATTATCCATGTTATGAGTTGGTTTTTAAGGCTCCTAACAAAGATTGCTTACAAAAACATGTCTTTAACCCTGTAGCCCTTGTCCCAGGTTCTGATGGTCTGTCTCTATTTGCGTTACTGGACTGATGGTCCAGGAAAGAGTGCAGGAATGTGCGTGTATCTTGTTTTCATAAGGAAAATAACCATGATAATTTTTAAACATTATTTTGATACTTCCCTTTCTACCAAATTAGTGATTTTGAAAGTTGTCTTACCTGGACTTTTGTTAGTGAAGGAGATAAAGGCATTAGGATAGAAATTCATGCTGAGTATAAGTTTGCCTGTTCTTGAAGATCTTGTGGATCTACTTTACAACATATGGTCTCTGAAAATATGATGATACCTAGTGCATGTGAAGGATATTTTCAAAATGGTTTGGTTCATAAAACTGTCAGTTGATTTCATATATCTAATTGAAACATTTTCCATCTAAAATAGGGCAATTTACAGAAGTGTCTCTCTGGTTTATTTACATTGCATATTCCCATAAAGCAGCAGGTTTGCAATAAAGCATTTGACACCCCCATGGTATTTTGAAAGAAACAATATACAATCTGGCACAAGTTAGCACCAGTGTGAAATGGCAGGCTGGGGGATATCTTAAACAGCAGTAACTTTCAAAACTAAATGAAGTGTCATCTTAAGGAGGCTGCTGTTAATGCAATTTAAATTACTCACCTGAAATTAATATTCTGCTGAGGGAAATAAAGCAATTTAAAAGACCACATAATTTCCGATCACATTAATGACATTATGTGGTCACGGACTGTTCCCTTATCTAATATAGAAACACTCCAGTTTCTTTTCACACTAAACACATTTTTCCATTTTAACTACTTGGCTTCTAAAAAAAAAGATCCACTCATTCCCTGCAGATGGTTAACAATTTGAGATTTATGACTGGCTTCATTGGAATTAGGTAAACATGACCTTGACATACTTATGATTGTTCCTAATATTCATTCCTACAGAGGAGGGTGGAAATCAAAGAAGTATGACCTAACATGTGAATTCTCCAAGCCCTTCAACCCCTTAAGAGGCCAATTTCATTTTTTTCCCCTCTGTAGCTAGAGGCAGTTTGGTACTTGTACCATTTTACTTCTTCCCATTTTGGTACGTGAAAATACTAAAGGAAGAAAGCAGTTTTTATAACTGCCCAGCTCTCTTGAGGAAAGAAGAAGATAGATTCTGATTTCTTTCTCTCTCTCTTTCTCTTCTTTTTTTTTTTTTTTGAGATGGACTCTTGCTTTGTCACCCAGGCTGGAGGGCAATGGCACGGTCTCGGCTCACTGCAACCTCCACCCTGGGTTCAAGCGATTTCCTGCCTCAGCCTCCCGAGTAGCTGGGAATACAGGCGCGTGCCACCACACCCAGCTAATTTTTGATTTCAGTAGAGACAGGGTTTCACTATGTTGGCCAGGCTGGTCTCGAACTCCTGACCTCATAATCCACCCACCTTGGCCTCTCAAAGTGTTGGAATTATAGGCATCAGCCACCATGCCCGGCGCATTGTGATTTCTTTCTAGATGAGAGAGAGATTCGAGTTTCTAGGTTGTTGGCTTGATTTCCAGTATAAATGGATAGATCGAGCCAAAAACGATATTTTTCTCCGAAAATTTCAGAGGGATTAAAATTATATGAGCTTTAAGTTAAAATTAAAACTTTAAAAATGTTTAAATAATAAAATGTAGAGAAAATATCACATTTATGTATACACCACTGAAATTAAATATATATTAACAATTTCCTCCTTCCCTCCCTCCTTCCTTCCCTCTTTCTCTCTCCCTCTCTCCTTCTGTCTTAAAAAAGATTTGCAACAATAGCTAAATCTTTTTCCCCTAGGTGTTAACCACACTTCTGAAGTTCATGTATATTATTACCATCCATGTTTTCTACTGTCTACATATGCATGTATCCATGAATGAAATAGATACCATTTGGGTATTTTTAAAAAATTATATAAATAAACTTGTTTTGTTTTACTTTGAACATTGATTTTGAAATTTATTCATGATATACATTAAGCAAGTTATTAATGAATGTATATTAGTCCATCCTTTCTATATAATTATTTTATTCATTCCCCTAATAGGAGGCACTTAAGATAAGAAATAGACATGGAAACTTTATTGGGAATGTAAGTCTGTAACTTTACCCATTTAAAGAGCTGGCTACTTCTTTTGTTAATTTCATTTTACATATGAACAAACTTTTTCTCTTGTTAATTGGCCTTTTTTTCAATTTAACAGGACACTCAACCTGAGAGGACAGAGGAAAAATTTTTCCTCCTGGATATATTTATTCATAAATGGTGATTCAGGAAAGTAGGATCAATTCATGTAACATTGTGTTGAGGGAAATGTACGTACACTTCATTGTGAGTCAGAAGCAAGGGGCTTATTATGATGTCAAACTGGTAACAAGCAAAGTAACATATTTATTAGATTATTCCAAAATGTCCCCTGATGGTATATACTGGAGACCCTATGAGGACAATAACTACTTTTAAACAAATACCCATACAATAATAATGGGCAAAGAATAATATGACAATATATTTAAATGTACTAAGACATTCTTATACTGTGAAAGTGAATGCATACTCTGCTGTCCTGTATGACCCTGTTTAGAGTGTGTAATACCAGAATTAATTCAATATTAGTGTTGACTACTAGAATTGTTGTGGTCAGATTCAAAGGTAGCACAAATACAAACAATTTAGAACCACTGAGTGTTTGTTTTCATTGGCTAGGCTACTTAAAATTAGATAAAAATCTTAGTAGGACATTTTGATAGTTGTATTCTAGTATAACTAAGATTTCTATTGAATGATACATTTCCTTTCAGTTTAAAGAAAATACTAGCATTTGAAATATTACTGAATTTAATCAATGCCCAGTTTTATTATATGTCAATTATATGTATAGATTATCTGATTGCTTTTTTCTTCAGACAGATTTGTTTTTTTGCTGTAACAAAATTTGAATTTATATATGCTACAAAATGATTCCTTTTTTTGGATTTGGGAGTTTTAATCGTTTATTCTTATACATGACTCATTTATGTACAGGAGCACAATTAGCCTTGTATGTTTAGGTCTCTGAAATCTTACAATAATGGCAATAATTTTTATGTGTTGTTACAACAATAACCATTTAAAGTAAAAACTCGAACTTAAAAAAATTTATACAGATGTACTTTTTTCCTGAGAAAATATTAACTTCATTTTTCTTAAACATATCTATTACTTGACTTTAGGAAAAAACAGGGTCAACTATGTGCCCCATAGCAGAGTCCTTTTTTTTTTTTTTTTTTCCTTTTTCTGAAGGATTCAGGATTTTTGTGCTATTAGAAGAGGAAAATATCATATTTTGTTTTAATTTTTAATTGAGAAATATAAGTCTCTCAACTGAAATATATGTGATATGGACTAATACAAATACATTTTCCTAGCATAGCAGAGTCTCACTATTTCAATGTTAATCTGATTTCTGAAGAAAAAAGACAGATATTTAGAAGAGTTATTTAAATTGAAGTGTTATTTTATTTTTTTAACGTAATTTCTTTTTTTTTAATTTTTGTTTTCGATTCGGGGGTACATGTGCAGTTTTGTACATGGGTAAATTGCGTGTTGCCGAGGATTGGTGTACAAATGATCCCATCACCCAGGTAGTAAGTAGAGCTCTTTTAGAATGTAAAATTCAGTAACACAACTGATTTCATAAAGCACACTTCAGGCCATTTTTGTCTTTGTTTTTGTATTATGGTAAACGATATAGTTTGGATGTGTGTCCCTGCCCAAATCTAATGTTGAGTTGTAATCCCCAATGTTGGAGGTGGGATCTGGTGGGAGGTCACTGGATCACAGGACTGGATTTCTCATGAATGGTTTAGCACTGTCCTCTTGGTGCTGTCCTGGTGATAGTGAGTGAATTTCTCATAAGATCTAGTTGTTTAAAAAGTGTGGCATCTCCCCTGCTCATCTCCCCTGCTCTCTCTCTTGCTCCTGCTCTGGCCATGTGAACTGCCTCCTCCCCCTTCATCTTCTGCCATGATTGTAAGCTTCCTAAGGCCTCCCCAGAAGCTGAGCAGATGCCAGCATCATGCTTCCTGTACAGCCTGCAGAACCATAAGCCAATTAAACTTCTTTTCTTTATAAATTACCCAGCCTCAGACATTTCTTTATAGCAATATGAGAAGAGCCTAATTTTGTGAATTTACTCTAAAGAATGAAATGTGCCATTTAAAGACTTTTTATTTGAAAATGAGAATTGTTTCCTTTCATTTAGCAGGCAAGAAAGCAAATGTAAGAATAATAACATTTGAACTCTGTCCTTACATATAATTAGCATATGTAATTATACATTTTTAAAAAGCCATTGAGCTGATAATGGCCAGTCTGTAATCTTAAAAGATAAATCGGCCTGGGCACAATGGCTCACGCCTGTAGTCCCAGCACTTTGGGAGGCCGAGGCGTGCAGATCACGAGCTCAGGAGATCCATACCATGCTGGCCAACATGGTGAAATCCCGTCTCTACTAAAAATACAAAAATTAGCCAGGCATGGTGGCACGCACCTGTAGTCCCAGCTACTAGGGAGGCTGAGACAGGAGAATCACTTGAACCCAGGAGGCAGAGGTAGCAGTGAGCTGAGATCATGCCACTGCACCCCAGCCTGGGCGACAGAGCAAGACTCCGTCTCACCGTCTCAAAAAAAAAAAAAAAAAAAGGCCAGGTAATCCAAAGAAACAAGTGATGTCAATTTATTCACATACTATCATAACAAGGGTTAATGAGTGCATGTTTTTATGCACTATTAAAAAGGGATGTAATTGCTCAGTTGGTTATAGCAGTCATTTGCTATTTCCAAACTGTATTTTTTTTGAAAAAAAAATTGCTGAAATCTTCTACATAAGTAATTATCCCTTGCTTAATCTCATTTTTGAGTGGAATAAAATAAACCATAGACTTGATATCCGAAGGAAAGGCTTGGTTAACCTTCCCCAAGGTTTATGTGGTTAGATATGTATGTATATGTTCACTAGGTAATTTAAGATTTAATAAGGGCACCACAAATACTTAATGCATTATTAGAACTTTCTAAGAGCAAAGAAGACAGGCATATATTAGACAAAGGCCAATTGTTCACTAAATTTTTATTCTACTATACTTAATTTAGGATATTTTTGTCTTTCAATGTTTACTTTAGGTTCAGAGGGTACATGTGCAGGTTTTTTACATGGGTAAATTATGTGTCACTAGGATTGGTGTACAAATGATTTCATTATCCAGGTAGCGAGCACAGTACTTGATAGGCAGTTCTTTGACCTTCACTCTCTTCCCACTCTTCCCATTCAAATAGGCCTTGGTGTGTATTGTCCCCACCTTTGAGTCCATGTGTACTCAATGTTTACCTCCCATTTATAAGTGAAAATACATGGTATTAGGTTTTCTGTTCCCTACAGATTCTGGATATTAGAACTTTGTTGGATGCACAGTTTATGAATATTTTCTTCCATTCTGTAGGTTGTCTGTTTACCCTGTTGATAGTTTCTTTTGCTGTGCAGAAACTCTTTAGTTTAATTAGGTCCCATGTGTCTATTTTTATTTTTATTGCAATTTCTGTGGAGACTTTGTCATGAAATTTTTGCCAAGACCTATCTCCAGAATGGTATTTCCTAGGTTTTCTACTAGGGTTTTAATACTTTTAGTCTCATGTTTAAGTCTTTATTCCATTTTGAGTTGATTTTTGTAAGTAGTGAAAGGTGGGGGGGTCCAGTTTCAATCTTATACACATGGCTTGCTTTGGCTATTTGGGCTTCTTTATGGTTCCATATAAATTTGAGAATTTTTTTTTAATTTTTTGAAAAATGACATAGGCATTTTGATAAGAATAGCGTCAAATCAGTTAATTGTTTGGGGCAGTATGGCCATTTTAACAATATTGATTCTTCCAATCCGTGAGCATGGAATGTTTTTCCATTTGCTTGTGTCATCTCTGATTTCTTTCAGTGGTGTTTTGTAATTCTTGTTGTATTGATCTTTCACCTCCCTGGTTAGCTGTATTCCTAGGTATCTGATTCTTTTTGTGGTTATTGTGAATGGGACTGCATTCTTGATTTGGCTCTCAGCTTGGATGTTGTTGGTGTTATAGATATGCTACTGATTTTTGTATGTCAATTTTCTATCTTGAAACCTTACTGAAGTTGTTTATCAGTTCTAGGAGTCTTTGGACAAAGACTATGGGGCTTGTTAGGTGTAGAATTATATCAGGTGTGACAAGAGATAGTGTGACTTCCTTTATTCCTATTTGGATGCCTTTTATTTATTTTTCTTGCTGGATTGTTCTGGCTAGTACTGTGTTAAATAGGAGTGGTGAGAAAGGGCATCCTTTTGTTCCAGTTTTCAGGGGGAATGCTTCCAGCTTTTGTCTGTTCAGTATGATGTTGGCTGTGAATTTGTCATAGACGACTCTTACTATTTTGAGGTAACTTCCTTCAGTGCCTAGTTTGTTGAGGGTTTTTAACATGAAAGGATGTTGAAGTTTATTGAAAGCCTTCTCTGTTTCTATTGAGATGATCATGTGGTTTTATTTTTAATTCTGTTTATGTGGTGAATTGCATTTATTGATTTGCATATGTTGAACCAACCTTGCATCCAGGAACAAAGCCTACTTGATTGTGATGGATTTGTTTTTTATGTGCTGCTGGATTTGGTTTGCTAGTATTTTGTTGAGGATTTTTGTGTCTCTGCTCATCATGGGGATTGGTCTCAAGTTTTTTTCTTCAATGTGTCTCTGCCAGGTTTTGATATCAAGGTGACGCTGGCCTCATAGAATGAGTTAGGGAGGAGTCTCTCCTCCTGAGTTTTTTGGAATAATTTCAGTAGGATTGGTACCAGCTCTTCTCTGTATGTCTAGTAGAATTCAGCTGTGAATCTATCTGGTCCAGTGCTTTTTTTTTTTTTTTTTTTTGTAGTTTTTTTTATTACTGATTCAATTTTGGAACTTGTTATTGGTCGTTTTGGGATTTCAATGTCTTCCTGATTCAATCTTGGGAGGTTGTATATTTCCAAGAATTTACCTATTTATTCTAGATTTTCTAGGTTGTGTGCATGGAAGTGTTTGTAAAAGTCTGTGATGGTTTTATGTATTTTGGTGGGGTTGGTTGTAGTTTCCACTTTGTCATTTCTGATTGTGTTTATTTGGATCATCTCTCTTTTTTTCATTATTAATCTAGCTAGCAGTCTATCAGTCTTGTTTATTCTTTTGAAGAACCAATTTTTGATTTCATTGGTCTTTTGTGTGGATTTTTGCATCTCAATTTATTTCAGTTCAGCTCTAATTTTGGTTATTACTTTTCTTCTGATAGCTTTGAGCTTGATTTGCTCTTATTTATCTAGTTCCTCTAGGTGTGATGTTAAGTTGGTAATTTGAGAACTTTTTAACTTCTTGATGTGAGCATTTAGTGCTATAAACTTTCCTCTGAACACTAGTTTAGCTGTGTCCCAGAGATTCTGGCAGGTTGTATCTTTGTTTTCACTAGTTTTGAAGAATTTTTAAATTTCCATCTTAATTTTATTATTTACCCCAAAGTCATTCAGGAGCAAGTTGTTTAATTTTGAGAGAACTTCTTGGTATTGATTTTCATTTTTATTGTGCTATGGTCTGAGAATGTGATTGGTATTTTTTGTTGTTGTTGTTGTTGTTGAGAATTGCTTTATGGCTGAGGATGCAGTTGATTTTAGAGTATGTGCCATATGCAGATGAGAAAAATGTATATTCTGTTGTTTTGGGGTGGGAGAATTCTGTAGATGTCCGTTAGGTCCATTTGGTCAAGTGTCAAGTCCCAAATATCTTTGTTAGTTTTCTCCCTTCATGATCTGTCTAACGCTTTCAGTGGTATGTTGAAGTCTCTCAGTATTATTGCATGGTTATGTAAGTATCTTCATAGGTCTCTAAGAATTTATTTTATGAATCTTGGTGTGATTGGATGCATATATATTTAGGATAGTTAAATCTTCTTGTTGAATAGACCCTTTATCATTATATAATGGCTTCCTTTGTCCTTTTTGATCATCACTGGTTTAAAGTCTGTTTCGTCTGAGATAAGAATAGCAACCCTGCTCTTTTTTGTCTACTGTTTGCATGATAGGTATTTCTCCATTCCTTTACTTTGAGCCTATGTTGTCATTGCATGTGAGACAGGTCTCTTAAAGACAATGTACAGTTGGGTCTTGCTTCTTTATCCAACTTGGCACTCTGCCTTTTAGGTGGGGTGTTTAGCCCATTTATGTTCAAGGTAAGTATTGATATGTGAGGATTTGACCCTATCATCATGTTTTCAGCTGGCTGTTTTGTAGACTTGATTGTGTAGTTGCTTTATACCATCAGTGGGCTATGTTCTTAAGTGTGTCTTTGTGGTGACAGGCATCAGTCTTTCATTTCCATGTTGAGCACTCCCTGAAGGACCTTTTATAAGGCAGGTCTAGTGGTAATGAATTATCTTAGCATTTGCTTGTCTGAAAAAGGATTTTATTTCTCCTTCACTCATGAAATCCAGTTTGGGTGAAAGTGAGATTCTTGGTTGGAATTTGTTTTCTGTAAGTATGCTGGTTATAGGCCCCCAGTCTCTTCTGGCTTGTAAGGTTTCTGCTGATAGCCTGATGGGGTTCCCTTTGTACGTGACCTGCCCCTCTCTGTAGCTGCATTTTTTTTTTCTTTTGTGTTGACCTTGGAGAATCTGATGATTATGTGTTTCGGCAACAGTCATTTTGTATAGGATCTTACAGGTGTTCTCTGAATTTGCAGGTCAATTTCTCTATCAAGGTTGGGGAAATTTTTGTGGACTATACACTCAAATACGTTTACCATGCTGTTTGTGCTCTCTCTATTTCTTTCAGTAATGCCAACGAGTCATAGGTTTGGTCTCTTTACATAATCCAATATTTCTTGGAGGTTTTATTCATTTAAAATTAAAAAAAAAATTTCTTGTCTGCCTGTGTTGATTGGAAGAAGTGGTCTTTGAGCTCTGAGATTCTTTCCTCAGCTTGGTCTATTCTGTTATTAATGTTTCCATTTGTATTATAAGATTCCTTTGGGGAATTTTTTTATTTCCAGAAGTTAAGTTTGCTTCTTTCTTAAAATGGCTGTGTCATCTTTCATTCGATCATTTTACTGGTTTCCTTACATTGGGTTTCAACCTAATCCTGGATCTCATTGAGTTTCCTTGCCATCCAGATTCTGAATTCTATGTCATTTCACCCATTTCAGTCTGGTTAAGAACCACTGCTGGGAAGTTAGTGTGGTTATTTGGAGGCAAGAAGACACTCTGGCTTTTAGAGTTGCCAGAATGCTTGCATTGGTTCCTTCTCATCTGTGTGTGCTAATGTTCCTTTAATCTCTGAAGTTGCTGGCCTTGTGAATGGGGCTTTTAGCTTTTCAATTCTTTGTTGTCCTTGAGGGTTTGACTGTGGTATAAGTTGGGTTTAGTCAATTGGCTTCATTTCTGGATATCTTCAGGGGGCCAGTGTTTAACTCAGCATTCCTGGGCTGCGTGTTCTAACAATGCGGTCTAGGACCAGGACCCTGGTTTTGCTTTCCGGTTCCTCAAGGCCAAGCACCAACTGCACTGGAGGGGAAGAGGTGTTCCCAGTCCACTGGCAATAACATTCTGATGGGAGCTGTTAGCAAAAGTGCTCTGGCAGGATGGCAGGTGCACCGTGGGAGAGTGCATTTCAGCAGACGGTCCTGGATGAGTGTGCACCAGCGAGGCAGCTGCAGGCAACTGTGCACTAGTGCAGCAATGGGGTGGGTAGAGTATGGATGAATGCACACCAACAGAGTGGTAGATGAGACCCAGACATGTGCACGCTGGTGGAGTAGCAGGGGGCCCTGTGTGTGTGTTAGCCAGTGGGGCAGTGGTGTTTCTGTATGCATGTGTGCACACACCAACAAGGTGATGAGGGGAGGTTGCTAGTGAGTGTGCACTGGAAGGGTTCCATCTGCAAAAGTACTCTGATGGGATGATGGGGGCTGCTGGCAAAAGAGCTATGGTGGTGACCACAGGCAAGCATTTTGGCAGGGCACCTGAGGCTGTACTGTAAGCGGGTGCATCCAGACAGGGACCCTGGGAGAGGCCGGCAGATAGAGGGGGCATTCAGATCAGACTGACTGTGTCCACTGGGCAAGACAGCCCTGCTCTCTCCAGGTCTGGCAGCTAACGAAAGCTAAAGCCAACTAGAGAAGTATGGTGAACTTTGGGGGATAAGCAATGGCTATGCTCCACTGTAGCCATTCCCGCACCAAACCCTCCAGGGTCTGTGCAGACTGGAGTTCTGTCTCTGCCAACTTACCAGGCAATTCCCCTCTAAAACTCAAAATGTCCATGGGGGTTGTTGGGTCTCCACAGCTAGGATCCTGGAGGTCTGTGGCAAGAGTGGACTGTTCTACACCTATTTGACTTACCCCTTCCCTAGAATCTGTTCATGGCAAGGAATGAATTCTGTTGCTCTGCAGCCCTGTGTGGCCTTTCTAGCTTTTTCCCCTTTCAGCCCAGGATCTATATCCTCCCTCTATCTACTCTCAATGCCTTTTTTCTGAAGATCTGTTTAGAGTATGCCGGTGTACTTGGTGGTCTGGTCTCTCTTAGTGGGAGAAGCTCTTCCTGGCTGCATCTAGTCAGCCATATTGGCTCTTCCCTCAGTAATTTTAAAATGCTAAAATATCCATCTGTATCTTTTTTTACTTTTCAAGACTGAGCATTGGCAATGAGTTCAAATGAATTCCAGTTTTTCATGCCATTCATTCATTCCAGAATTTTATTCTGATATTCATTTAGGATTTCCAGCTAGATCTTTATCCCACTTTTAATTTTAAAATATTACTTTGAATTTTTCTACATTTTGATGCTATTATGAACTCTTTAGATTCACTAAGAAATATCTGCAAACATCTTAGTGTTAATTTTCTACAGCTGACATAGCAAAGTATCACAAACTGGGTGGCTTAGAACAATGAAATTTGTGGTCTCATTTTTGGAAGCTAGAAGTCTGAAATTAAGGTGTTGACAGGGTCATGCTTCCTCTGAAATCTGAAACAAATTTTGTCTAGCCCCACAGTCTTAACTTTCCTGTTTACTCTTGATAATGTGGAATTTTATAATTTTTCTGCTTTATGTTATATCTGGACTGGCTGTAGGTCAATAATATTGATCTAAAGATAAATCATAAAAATCATACACACAAGATAAAACATATTCTTTTCAAGTACACATTGATCATGTACTAGCTCACAAGTAATCTCAACAAATTTCAAAAAACAGACATATGGAATATTTTTCCTATCTTAAAACAATTTTATTAGAAAACAAAATTATTAGAAGCAATTATATTATCTTACAACAAATTTGTCTTAAAACATTACTAGAGAACTAACAGTGAAATGAAAATAGAATAAATAAAGTATGTTTGAAACTAAAAACATATTCTCAAATAACTCATGGGTTGCAAACTTAGAGTTGAACAATAATAAAAAATACATATCAAAACGTGAGATACAGATGAAGTGGTATTTAGAAAAATATCTATATTCTTAAGTTTATTAAGAAATATTTTCCTGAACTTTGTCAGTGACAAGAAAAAAAAGAAATATTTTATGTGTTTCATGTTGGCTCTTTTCTCTGTACTAATTTTTGAAAGAGATTCTATCTGCCTAAACTATTTTTCCATAGGCAAGATGTTAGATTGTCTTTTTTCAGTCTCTTTTTCCATTTGAGTCATGACTGAATCCACTTCTCAGATTTATACTTGGAAGTCAGGTTGAGAAAAAAATGTACTCAGGGTTCCATTTGAAGGCAAACTGAATTCATCTGTCTTGTGCTTTGTACAGATTCTTTCCAGATGTTTGCTTCAAGTTGTCCCTAGATTTTTTTTTTTTTTTTTTTTTTTGAGACGGAGTGTTGCTCTGTCACCCAGGCTGGAGTGCAGTGGCACGACCTTGGCTCACTGCAAGCTCCACCTCCCGGGTTCATACCATTCTCCTGACTCAGCCTCCTGATGTTGTCCCTAGATCTTAATTTTAGGTGGTGGTATATTTTCAACTTTTCCTATGTTTGTATAAGCATTTTAGTTAAAAGATAGGAAAGGCAAGAAATGTAAACAAGTGCCATTTTAAATAAGAAATCTTGTCGGCTCTTCACTTGCTTTTGAAGTGATGAAGACGTGAGTAAGGTATACTATGAATGTACCTATGCTATATTTTGATAAAATTTAGACAGAATCCAGGCAAAGGTAAGGTTAGTTGAAGTCCATAAATCACTGCTTTACTTGCCTTTGTGCTGGTTTTGTAATTTGCTTACAGAAAGAACCTTCCTTATTCTTTGTGTGCCTAAGTGACTGATACTCCAACAATATAATTTCCTGCTCCCATTTTACCTTAAACAAATATCCTTTAATCTACTTCCACTCCTAAGTTTGCAGATTTTTAAATATGCGTATTCACTAAAAACTTGAGTAGACAAGACAACCTCAAATAACATACTAAAGAAAAGTGAAAGTTTAACCCAGCAGTTTCCCTCATTAAAAACTAATATAAAGATTAACAAACCTAGTCTCAAACTTGTGAATCAGAATTCCAAAATTGGAGTTTTGAGATCTATAGTTTTAAAAAGTGATTCCGATCTATATCCCTGGTTGAAAAAAATCACTGCTTTAATCTGTTACATGCAAATTAACTAATTAATTAGTTAGGTGGGTAGTTTCTAAATGATAGTCTATCTGGCTTGATTTCTTAAACACAGATTACTGCAGTGCAACTGAAACAATTTAGAGGTTCAACAGAACATGGTGAAAATCTTTCACTGTCATTTGTTACACCTGTACCTGCAGAAAGTCACTTACTCTCTCTGAACCTCAGTTTTCTCCTTTGGAAGATGGAGATAGTATCTTCTACAACCAAGGGTTTATTTAATGGGCTACCATCTTGTTGTCTAGGAGTTCTGGATG